>NW_025791782.1:0-150302 GCF_000001405.40 Homo sapiens | reverse complement strand
GAATTCATTTATTAGTTCTAACAGTTTGCTTTGGTTTATCTTTGTTTGTTGTTGTGGGGCCAGGGGGGAGTTGGTGCAGAATTGCTACAATTTTCTAAATATAGGATTGTGTCATCTGCAAACAGAAATAATTTTACTTATTCCTTTCTAATTTGTATGCCTCTTATTTCTTTTTCTTGCCTAATTGCTTCAGCTAGAATTTCCAATATTATGTTGAACACAAGTAACAAAAGCAGGCACCCTTGTCTTATTTCTGATCTTAGGGGAATTGCTTTTAGTCTTTTGAGTATAGTATAGCTATTGAGTATAGTGATAGCTGTGGATTTCTCATATAAGAGCTTTATTATATTGAGGTAGTTTCTATTCCCAGTTTGCTGGGCGTTCTTATCATGAAAAGGTATTGGATTTTCTCAAATACTTTTTCTGCATCAGTTGAGATGATCATGGATTTTCCCTTTATTGTGTTAATGTGGTATATTGCATTGATTTTTATGTGTAGAACCATCCTTGTATTCCAAGAATCAATCTCATTTGGTCATGATGTATAATCCTTTCAATATGTTGCTGAATCCAGTTTGCTAATTTTTTTGAGGATTTTTGTATTGGTATTCATAAAGGATATTGGTCTATGGTTTTCTTGTACTGTCTTTGTCTGGCTTTGGTGTCAATATAGTGCTGGCCTCATAGAATGAGTCAGGAAGTGTTCCCTTCTCTTCATTTTTTTTGGAAGCATTTGATAAATATTGGTGCTAGTTCTTTAAGTGTTTGGTAGAACTCATCAATTAAGATATCTGTATTCATCCATTTGTGCTGCTATAGCAAAATATCTGAAACTGGGTCATTTATACAGAAGATAAATTTATTTCTCACAGTTTTGGAGACTAGGAAGTTCAAATTCAAGGTGCCAGCAAGTCTGGTGTCTGGTGAGGGTCCAGTCTCTGCTTCCAAGATGGTGTTTTGAATGCTGCATCCTCAAGAAGGGAGGAAACTTGTGTATCTTTATATGACAGAAGGCAAAAGGGCCAAAAGAGATTAACTCCCTCCATCAAGGCCCTTTATAATAGCATTAATCTATTCATGAGGGCAGAACCATCATGACTGAAACATATCACAAAAGGCCCCACCTCCCAACACTGTGGCACTGGGAATTAAGTTTCCAATACATGAATTTGGGGGGGGATACATTTATACCATACCAACATCTGATCCTGGACTTTTATTTGTTGGAAGATTTTTGATTACTGATTAAATCTTCTTGCTAATTATAGGTCTACTCAAATTTTCTGTTTATTAGTGATTCAGTCTTAGTAAGCTTTGTGTATCTAGAAATTTGTCTATTTCATTTAGGTTACCAAATTTGTTGTCATACAATTGTTTATAATACTTCTTAATAATCCTTCTTATTTCTGTAAATCAGTTGTAATGTCCTCTCTTTCATTTCTAGTTTTGGTTATTTAAGTCTTCTTTTTTTCTTAGTCAGTATTGCTAAAGGTTTATCAATTTTCTTGATCTTTTTAAGAACTAAATTACTTTGGTTTCATTAATTTTCTCTATTGTTTTTCTATTCTTTGTTTTATTTCTCTCTGCTCTAATCTTTCTTTTTCCCTAGTTATGCTAGTTTTAGACTTAGTTTGTTCTTCTTTTTCTAGTTCCTTAAGGTATAAATGTAAGTTGTTAATTTGATCATTTTTTAAAATTATTTTTTCTTTGTCTTTGAAGGATTGGGTTAATTTGAAAGCCTTGTCTTTGAGCTCTGTAATTCTTTCTTCTGCTTGTTTGATTCTATTGCTGAAACTCTCCAGTGCGTTTTGCATTTCTCTAAGTGTGTCCTTGATTTCCAGAAGTTATGATTGTTTTTATCTATGCTATCCATTTCTCTGAAGATTTTTCCTTTCATATCCTGTATCATGTTTTTTATTTCTTTAAGTTGGAGTTCACCTTTCTCTGGTCCTCCCTGATTAGCCTTAATAATCGGCCTTCTGAATTTGTTTTCTGGTAATTCAGAGATTTCATCTTGGTTCGGATCCACTGCTGGTAAGCTGATGTGACCTTTTGAGGGTACTAAAGAACTTTGTTTTGTCATATTACCAGAATTGTTTTTCTGGTTCCTTCTCATTCTGGTAGACTATGTCAGAGGGAAGATCTGGGACTCAAGGACTGCTGTTCGGATTCTTTTGTCCCACAGGGTGCTCCCATAATGTGTTCTCCCTCTTCCCCTAAGGATAGGGCTTCCTGAGAGCTGGAATGCAGTGATGGTTTTTGCTCTTCTGGGTCTAGCCAGCCAGCAGAGCTACTGGGCTCCAGGCTGGTACTGGGGAGTGTCTGCAAAGAGTCCTGTGATGTGATCTGTGTTCAGATCTCTCAGCTGTGTATACCAGCATCTGCTCCATTGGAGGTAGCAGAGGAGTGAAGCAGACTCTGTCAGAGTTCTTGCTTGTAGTTTTGTTTAGTGTGCTGGTTTTCTCGAATGCTGGTTATGCTAGCAGTAAATCTGTCACATGGACAGACTCACAACCTCTGGTTGGCCAGGATGTTACAGGCATTCTAAACACAGAACATAGAATTGTTCTATGTGCACTTGAGAAAAACGTGTACTTTGCTGTTGTTGGGTGGAATGACCTCTATATGTCTGTTAGGTCTAATTGGTATCTTTAAGTTCTAGGGTATGTATGCACAACATGCAGGTTTGTTACATATGTATACACGTGCCAAGTTGGTGTGGTGCACCCATTAACTGGTCATTTACATTAGGTATATCTCCTAATGCTATCCCTCTCGCCTTCCCCCACCCCACAACAGGCCCCAGTGTGTGATGTTCCCCTTCCTGTGTCCAAGTGTTCTCATTGTTCAATACCCACCTATGAGTGAGAACATGCAGTGTTTGGTTTTTTGTCCTTGCAATAGTTTGCTGAGAATGATGGTTTCCAGCTTCATCCACGTCTCTACAAAGGACATGAACTCATCATTTTTTTTGGCTGCATAGTACTCCATGGTGTATATGTGCTACATTTTCTTAATCCAGTCTATCATTGTTGAACATTTGGGTTGGTTCCAAGTCTTTGCTATCGTGAACAGTGCTGCAATTAACATACATGTGCATGTGTCTTTATAGCAACATGATTTATAATCCTTTGGGTATATACCCAGTAATGGGATGGCTGGGTCAAATGGTATCTCCAGTTCTAGTTCCTGAGGAATCGCCACACTGTCTTCCACAAGGGTTGAACTAGTTTACAGTCCCATCAACAGTGTAAAAGTGTTCCTATTTCTCCACATCCTCTCCAGCACCTGTTGTTTCCTGACATTTTAATGATCACCATTCTAACTGGTGTGAGATGATATCTCATTGTGGTTTTGATTTGCATTTCTGTGATGGCCAGTGATGATGAGCATTTTCTCATGTGTCTGTTGGCTACATAAATGTCTTCTTTTGAGAAGTGTCTGTTCATATCCTTCACCCACTTGTTGATGGGTTTTATTTTCTTGTAAATTTGTTTGAGCTCTTTGTAGATTCTGGATATTAGCCCTTTGTCAGATGAGTAGATTGCAAAAATTTTCTCCCATTCTATAGGTTGCCTGTTCACTCTGATGGTAGTTTCTTTTGCTGTGCAGAAGCTCTTTAGTTTAATTAGACCCCATTTGTCAATTTTGGCTTTTGTTGCCATTGCTTTTGGTGTTTTAGACATGAAGTCCTTCCCCATGCCTATGTCCTGAATGGTATTGCCTAGGTTTTCTTCTAGGGTTTTTATAGTTTTAGGTCTAACATTTAAGTCTATAATCCATCTTGAATTAATTTTTGTATAAGGTGTAAGGAAGGGATCCAGTTTCAGCTTTCTACATATGGCTAGCCAGTTTTCCCAGCACCATTTGTTAAATAGGGAATCCTTTCCCCATTTCTTGTTTTTCTCAGGTTTGTCAAAGATCAGATAGTTGTAGATGTGTGGTATTATTTCTGAGGGCTCTGTTCTGTTCCATTGGTCTATATCTCTGTTTTGGCACCAGTACCTTGCTGTTTTGGTTACTGTGGCCTTGTAGTATAGTTTGAAGTCAGGTAGCGTGATGTCTCCAGCTTTGTTCTTTTGGCTTAGGATTGACTTGGCAATGCTCTGATCTTACTTATTTCTTGCCTTCTGCTAGATTTTGAATGTGTTTGCTCTTGCTTCTCTAGTTCTTTTATTTGTGGTGTTAGGGTGTCAATTTTAGATCTTTTCTGCTTTCTCTTGTGGGCATTTAGTGCTATAAATTTCCCTCTACACACGGCTTTGAATGTGTCCCACAGATTCTGGTATGTTGTGTCTTTGTTCTCGTTGGTTTCAAAGAACATCTTTATTTTTTTTGTTCCATATGAACTTCAAAGTAGTTTTTTCCAATTCTGTGAAGAAAGTCATTGGTAGCTTGGTAGGGATGGCATTGAATCTATAAATTACTTTGGGCAGTACGGCCATTTTCACAATATTGATTCTTCCTATCCATGAGCATGGAATGTTTTTCCATTCGTTTGTATCCTCTTTTGTTTTGTTGAGCAGTGGTTTGTAGTTCTCCTTGAAGAGGTCCTTCACATCCTTTGTAGATTGGATTCCTAGGTATTTTATTTTCTTTGAAGCAATTATGAATGGGAGTTCACTCATGATTTGGCTCTCTGTTTGTCTGTTATTGGTGTATAAGAATGCTTGTGATTTTTGCACATTGATTTTGTATCCTGAGACTTTGCTGAATTTGCTTATCAGCTTAAGGAGACTTTGGACGGAGACAATGGGGTCTTCTAGATATACAATCATGTCATCTGCAAACAGGGACAATTTGACTTCCTCTTTTCCTAATTGAGTGCCCTTTATTTCTTTCTCCTGCCTGATTGCCCTGGCCAGAAATTCCAACACTGTGTTGAATAGGAGTGGTGAGAGAGGGCATCCCTGTCTTGTGCTAGTTTTCAAAGGGAATGCTTCCAGTTTTTGCCCATTCAGTATGATATTGGCTGTGGGTTTGTCATAAATAGTTCTTATTGTTTTGAGATACGTCCCATCAATACCTAATTTATTGAGAGTTTTTAGCATGAAGTGCTTTTGAATTTTTTCAAAGGCCTTTTCTGCATCTATTGAGATAATCATGTGGTTTTTGTCTTTGGGTCTGTTTATATGCTGGATTACGTTGATTGGTTTGCATATGTTGAACCAGCCTTGCATCCCTGGGATGAAGCCCACTTGATCATGGTGGATAAGCTTTTTGATGTGCTGCTGGATTCAGTTTGCCAGTATTTTATTGAGGATTTTTGCATCAATGTTCATTAGGGATATTGGTCTAAAATTCTCTTTTTTGGTTGTGTCTCTGCCAGGCTTTGGTATCAGGATGATGCTGGCCTCATAAAATGAGTTAGGGAGGATTCCCTCTTTTTCTATTGATTGGAATAGTTTCAGAAGGAATGGTACCAGCTCCTCCTTGTACGTGTGGTAGAATTTGGCTGTGAATCCATCTGGTCCTGGACTTTTTTTGGTTGGTAAGCTATTAATGATTGGCCTCAATTTCAGAGCCTGTTATTGGTCTATTCAGAGATTCAACTTCTTCCTGGTTTAGTCTTGGGAGGGTGTATGTGTGGAGGAATTTATCCATTTCTTCTAGATTTTCTAGTTTATTTGCGTAGAGGTGTTTATAGTATTCTCTGATGGTAGTTTGTATTTCTGTGGGATCGGTGGTGATACCCACTTTATCATTTTTTATTGCATCTATTTTATTCTTCTCTGTTTTCTTCTTTATTAGTCTTGCTAGCAGTCTATCAATTTTGTTGATCTTTTCAAAAAACCAGCTCCTGGATTCATTGATTTTTTGAAGGGCTTTTTTGTGTCTCTGTGTCTCTATCTCCTTCAGTTCTGCTCTGATCTTAGTTATTTCTTGCCTTCTGCTAGCTTTTGAATGTGTTTGCTCTTGCTTCTCTAGTTTTTTTAATTGTGATGTTAGGGTGTCAATTTTAGATCTTTCCTGCTTTCTCTTGTGGACATTTAGTGCTATAAATTTCCCTCTACACACTGCTTTAAATGTGTCCCAGAGATTCTGGTATGTTGTGTCTTTGTTCTCGTTGTTTTCAAAGAACATCTTTATTTCTGCCTTCATTTTGTTATTTACCCGGTAGTCATTCAGGAGCAGGTTGTTCAGTTTCCATGTAGTTGAGTGGTTTTGAGTGAGTTTCTTAATCCTGAGTTCTAGTTTGATTGCACTATGATCTGAGAGACAGTTTCTTATAATTTCTATTCTTTTACATTTGCTGAGGAGTGCTTTACTTCCAGCTAGGTGGTCAATTTTGGAATAGGTGTGGTGTGGTGCTGAGAAGAATGTATATTCTGTTGACGTGGGGTGGAGAGTTCTGTAGATGTCTATTACGTCTGCTTGGTCCAGAGCTGAGTTCAATTCCTGGATATCCTTTTTAACTTTCTGTCTCGTTGATCTGTCTAATGTTGACAGTAGGGTGTTAAAGTCTCCCATTATTATTGTGTGGGAGTCTAAGTCTCTTTGTAGGTCTCTAAGGACTTCCTTTATGAATCTGGGTGCTCCTGTGTTGGGTGCATATATATTTAAGATAGTTAGCTCAGTCTAATTGGTTTATTGTCCTGTTCAAGTCTATGTCCTTATTTGCCTTATGTCTTTTGGTTCCGTTTACAATTAAAAGTAGAGTATGAAAGTCTGCAATCATTATTGTAAATCTGTTTAGTATTCCCTTCAGTTTTGCTCTGTAGGGCTCTGATGTTTGCATAAAAATGTTCCTAATTTTATATCTTCTTGATAATTGAGTCTCTTATCAATACTAATGTCCTTCTTTGTCCCTCGTAACAGTTTTTTACTTAGAGTTTATTTGATCTCCTATTAGTATAACTACCCAGCTTCTTGTTGCTTTCAATTTACATGGAATATCTTTTTCCAATCTTTCACTTTCAACCGTTTGTGTCTTTAGATCTAAAATGAGTCTCATGTATGTAACATGTGATTGGATCATGTTTCTAAATCTAGTCTGCTGATTTCTGCCTTTTGATTAGAGACTTTAATGCATTTAAAGTAATTATTTTTAAAAAAGCAGGCTAATTCTGCCATTTTCCTGTTTGTTTTCTCCATGTCTTATACCATATTTTGGCTCTCATTTCCTTCATTACTGCTTTCTTTTGTGTTTAGTTGGTTGTTTGTTTGTTTTGTTGTTGTTGTTGTTTTTGGAGTGACACATTTTGATTACCATCTCACTGCCTTTTGTGTATATACTATAGATAATTTCTTTGTGGTTACTATGCAGATTACATTAATAATATGACAATCACATCTGAATTGACATCAACTTAACTTCAATCACGTATGCAATCTCTACTTCCATACAGTTCTATCTCCCACTTGATGTTATTGATGTCACTAATTACATCTTTATACGTTGTGTGCCAAAAAACACAGATTGTTAACTATTTTTATGTATTTATCTTTTAAATCCTATAGACAATAAGAGGTGGAGCTACAAATGAAAATTCTAATAATACTGGCTTTTATATATTCTTATGCATTTACCTTTAATGGAAACCTTTATATCTTTATATGACTATTAGTTACTGTCTAACATCTTTTCATTGCAACCTGGGAGATTTCCTTTAGCATTTTGGGCTCGGCGGTGGGGGGCAAGTCTGGTAGTAATAAACTTCTTTTGTTTAACTTCCCATTTCTGTTAATAAATTTCCCATTTCTGGGAATGTCTTAATTTCACTTTCAACTCTTGAAGGACAGTTTTGTGAGATATAGAATCCTTGCCTGACAGTTCTATTTTTGGCACTTTAATATACCATTCCACTGCCTTCTGGATGCCAGTATTTCTGCTAAGAAACAGGCTGATAATCTTACTAAGGATACCTTACACCTAATAAGTTGCTTTTCTTTTACAGCTTTCAAGATTCTCTCTTTGTCTTCAGCTTTTGACAGTTTGGTTATAAGGGGTTCACACGTGGGTCTCTGAGTTATTCTACTTGGATTTTGTTGTGCTTCTTTTATTTTTATACTCATGGCTTTCCTTTTCAGCCATTATTTCTTCAAATAATTTTTCTGCACCATTATCACGTCTCCTTCTTGAATTCCCATAATGCATATGTTGCTTGGCTTTATGGTTTCCCACAAATCTCTTCAGTTCTCTTTGCTTTTCTTTATTATTTTTTCTGTTTCTCAGACTCAATAATTTTAACTGTCTTGTCTTCAAGTTTACTGATTCTTTCTTCCACCTGATCAAATCTCCTACTGAACCCTTCTGGTAAACTTTTCATTTTAGTTATTGTACTTTTCACCTCCAGTATTTCTGCTTGGTCCTTTTTATAATTTCGATCTCTTTGTTGATATTCTCATTTTGTTGACATTTCATATTCTTGATTTCCCTTAGTTCTTTGTCTATGTTTTCCTTTAGGTCTCTCTTTTTTTTTTTTTTTTTGGAAATGGAGTCTTGCTCTGTAGCTAGACTGGAGTGAAGCGGCACCATCTCAGCTCACTGCAACCTCCCCCTGGTTTAAGTGATTCTCCTGCCTCAGCCTCCCGAGCAGCTGGGACTACAGGCATGTACCACCACGCCCAGCTAATTTTTGTATTTTTAATAGAAACGGGGTTTCATCATGTTGGCCAGGATGGTCTCAATCTCCTGACCTCATGATCCACCCACCTCGGCCTCCCAGAGTGCTGGGATTATAGGCGTGAGCCACTGCACCCAGCCTCCTTTAGGTCTTTGAGTATGTTTAGGACAGTTGTTTTAAAGTCTTTGTCTAGTAAGTCAAATGTTTTAGATTCCTCAGGGGCAGTTTCTGTCCACTTATTTTGATCCTTTGATGTGCCATATTTTCCTGTTTCTTTGCATGCTTTGTGATTTTTTTTTTCTGAAAATTGGGTTTTTAAGTATTGTAGTGTGGATTATAGTGTGAAATCTTTGAAAATCAGATTGTCCTCCTTCTCTAGGGGTTGTTCATTTGTTGGTTGGTTGGTTTATTGTTGAAGGCTATAATCATCCAGTAGTTTTGAGACTTGCCTAAACTATTTTTGCAAAGACTAGTCTTTTTCACATGTGATCACTGACGTTTGTCCTTCTAGCTTGTGTTCAGCTAATGTTTTCGCAGAGATTTCCCTGAATACTAAGATTTCTCCCCACCTTTGCAGGTTGGCTCTGTGCTGGGGAGCCTTCAACACTTATTTAGGTTTTCTCTCAGCCTAGGAATCAGCCCAAAGTGAAAGCTTAATGTCTTCTCAGGTCTTTTCTGAGCATGTGCCTTGCCTGCATGTGTGTGGCTTGCTAAACTCCCCCATATACAGGGTTGCTTTTGAATGCCTTAATTTCCAGTCTTGCCCCAGCTTCTCCCCCAGGCTTTAAATTGCCTGCTATATGTCTGCCTCCATAATCTCTTGCCCCAGGAATCTGTGGCTCAGTAGTTGCCTTACAGTGGTTATGAGCAGTGTCCATAGCTTTTCCCACCTGACTTCTGAGTTAGGAAAAACAGAGATGAATGCTTCATGCTAGTCCTTCAGGTATTTCCCCAGGTGGTTTGGAACAGCCACAAGCAATAATTTACCAATAAAGTCTGCTCTGCTTCCTCCAGTTTAAAGGACAAAACGGAACTGGGCTGCTGCTGTTTCAAGAACAAGACTGCTACCACACCAGGGAAAGAGTGAGGCAAGAATGAGAAAAACATCACAAAACTCTCTGACCATTTTGAAGATGGCCTTTTCTTGACTGGGCATCTGTTTGGTTGATGTAAACCTTTGACTCTTTCCCAAAGCTCTGACAAAGCTAGTTGCGGCAGTTTTGGCTTTTAATGGTTTCTGTAGGGGAATGAGCAGTTGGAGCTTCCTAGTCTATCACTTTGCTAACATCACCCTACCCCTAGTTCTTTTATGTTATTTCACTGTTTTTATTAGCAATTTTGGATCTTCTTCTAATGTAGTGGTCTTTTGAACCTAAGTGCAGAAATCTACAAATTAACTCATATTAATTAGTCTATTGGATTTTCCTCACTGTAGCTTTCGGATGATCTCATCCAACATGTTCTATATCTCCACAAGCTTCCTATCAGCTACATCCAGTAAGCAAACCTTCCACTGTTCTCTAATTCTCTAAGTTTTAAAAGAATAGCATAATCAAGTGTTATGTCAGTCTTCTGTCCTGTCTTCTTAATGTTCTTAATAATATCTATTCCATAATCAAAACTCTGCATCACAGCTATTTTTGTTTTTAATGAATCATAAACTAAGGCTCCCAGCTATGAAGCCTCCTCAGAGGGCACAGCCAACAGATGTCTAGCAGACTTCCAGATGCCAGAATCACTAAGAGTCAAAGAAGATCATTATTGATGGCTTTTAAGTATCACAGGTTCATTCATTCCTCCAAATTTAAATACAAGAAAGAATGTGTCTCCCACTTGAACTTTTTTAAGTAAACTTTTACTTGTGGTGGTAAAAACCAGGGAATGGCTTATCAGAAAGAGCAAAGGCTTTGAAATCAAGCAGTATTCAAATATTGATGTTAGCACTTACTAATTAGGCAAGTTACTTAATCTATAAAACTCCATTTTCTCATCTGAAAAAAAAATGGAGAAAACAGCCATTTCCTTGCAGGGATACTGTGAAAATTAAATTAGATAACACACACAAAGTCCTAATACCAAATAAAAAGTTCCCTTCACTAGACAAAAAAGGAACATAACCTAAATTATGAAACTTTTTCCCAAAGCTCTTAATTTTAGCAATTTAATTAAAGTATTACATGGATGCCAAGCTGGTAGGTTCATCTGCTTTCCCATTTCCATACTCTGTAACATCATATAAATGTGATGGGACCAAACCAGGCAGGTTTAGGGGATGAATGTCTAGGGTATTTTTGGAAGACAGATGGGGGATCCCACCTGGGGAATATGTGCATGAGAGTACAAGAAGCTTCCAAAGAAAGATGTCTTTGTAAGGGAAGACAGTCAAGGGCCACAGATGTAGCCGAATCCAGAGAGTACAAGTCAAAGCGGAAGGGTTTCTTTGGGCACACCACAATGGCATATGTTGCTCCAGTGATCCTCCACCCAGCTTCCTGGATTGGTGCCTGAATCCTACTGAGAGAGGCATGCAATAAAGAGCAAGTAAAAATAAAACCATGGCACCTGATTCCCTCAGGACATGGAGAGCACAAGTCTGTTTCTTTTATACTCAAGACAGCAATGACATAATTAAGTGAGAGTCAAGGAAAGAAATTCCTGTAGGATCCACAGCTTAGGACCTAGACTAGGCAAGAGGGGTTGCTGCACTAGAGCCCCCCATCGCAAACAACAAGCCAAAAAACTATGCCATCCCAGAAGACACTTCTTTCACCTGAGGTCTGGTACCAGGCATAGCCTGACCCAGCCTTAGGACACAGCAACCCCGTCCCAGGCACCAGAATGCATTCTTGCCCAACATCCTCAACACACAGGTGGCTGTGTCCAAACACCATAAAAGTTTGCGTGTTGTACCACCACTTACCCACAAAGCTGGGGCCAACACTGCTTGTGCATGCAGGGAGGAATTGATAGGAGAATGCATGGATGTGAGAAAGGACCAAAACGCACACACATACTTTGAAAAGTTAATTTACCTTTTCAATCTTTCCTCAGCATAAATGCAACAAATTCTTGCATAACCACATATCAGTTCTCAGCAGCGCTCCATATTGCCAAGACTTCATTTTCTTGCTTTTCTTGATTTGCCGATTCATGGTTCCTGAGGGAGCCACATATCAATGCAATATTCACCACAGTTGCTGAGAAACCACATGGTGACTGAGAAATATTTTGCAACATTAAACAATTTCTATTACTCTTAAATCTATATACGTTGATCTAGACATCAAATGTAGAAAACATAATATCAATTATTTACATTGGCATCTAGATAAATATTAAATGCTAGAACTGTAAATTGTTTTATGTTCATTAAAAAAATAAAAATTATATAAAATATATAGTCATGCACCACATAACATTTTGGTCAACAACAGATTGGTCCCATACGATTATAATAGTATATATTTACTGTTCCTTTTCTATGTTTAGATACACAAACACTTACCATCATGTTACAAATTGCCCACATTACAATTGCCTACGGTATTCAGTACAGTCACATGCTGTGTAGGAGCCTAGGTGTGTAGTAGACTATACCGCCCAGGTCTGTGGAAGTGCACTCTGTGATGTTCACACAATGACGAAATCACCTAACAACACTTTCCTCAGTATATAGCCCCATCATTAAGCAAAACATACCGGTAATTAGTTTTTTTAAAAAACAAATTTAAATTTTCAGCTTTATTTAAATAATTTTCTTTCTTTTTTTTTTTTATTTTTTTTTGAGACAGAGTTTCACTCATTGCCCAGGCTGGAATTCAGTGGCGCAATCTCAGCTCACTGCAGCCTCCACCTCCCAGGTACAAACAATTCTCCTGCCTCAGCCTCCCAAATAGCTGGGATTACAGGCGTGCACCATCACACCCGCCTAATTTTTGTATTTTTAGTAGAGACAGGGTTTTACCATGTTGGCCAGGCTAGTCTCAAACTCCTGACCTCAGGTGATCCACCCGCCTCGACCTCCCAAAGTGCTGGGATTACAGGCGTGAGCCACTGCGCCCAGCCTATTTAAATAATTTTCATTTAAAAGTGAATATTCATTTTTGACATTTGTGTTTTTCATTTTAATTTTAATTTTTAGTATTTTAAAAGATAACTTTTCAAAAATATATGGAAATAATGTTAACTTTAAAATTGTATACTTATTTTAATGTATACTTTTAGAAATATATTTCCATTTTAATCATTTAGATTATTACTGTCAACTGAATACAAATTATGTAAAAATCTTTATTACACCCATATAATTAGTGATGCAGCTGAAATTAATGCAAGAAAAATAAATTTTATCTGATAAATATACCTGAGTTGTGTATATCTTATTTTATTATCCATCCAAGCATCTATAAAATACACATGTGAAATAATAAATTCATCTTTGATATTTTGCTTTCAGTCATATAAAAATCATGGTTTTACATATATTTTTGTCATTATGAAGACATTTATCAAGATAGAAAGATTTATTATGTACATTTCTTAACTGTTTGTTAGTTTGATTTGTAACTTTAACTATCACGCAGGTGGTACGTGGGCCACGCGTGTTAGGGGAGGCCTGGATGAAGGTCCCAGAGACTCCCAAGCCTAGCACATTGGGGTTCACACAGCTCTGGCAGCCTGGGGAGAAATCACCCAAAAAGCCAGAGCAGAAAACCAGGAAATGACAGACATCAGGTGGTTCAGAGAGTCAGTCCCCAAGGACACGTGAGACAGCCTCTAGAGACTCCCAGAAACAGCTGGGAGACATTTAAGGACAAACTAGAATTCCTAAATTATGTGTGGAGATATACGCTGAGCAATATTGAGCTTCTCTCTTTGTGGCCTTGTTCCTACCCAAAGACCATGCAGTCTGAAAAAAAAACTTGGATTGCATAAAGAAACAGAAAAGTCCCCCATCTGAAACTTCCAAAATAATATGCTTTGCAAACATTTAAACATATCTTAATTCTGCTGTAATAAGCAACTTAGTTTTTAGATAACCACAAACTGAAACCCACTAGAAAACCAACTTAGCTGAGCTACACAAACTACAAGAAAAGAAGCTGTAAGAATAAACCATGAAAAGCAAGAGATGACTAAAGTTCTTGGGATCTTTGCAGCAAAAGTAACCAAATATATGGTATCTATGTGAGTGAATTACCTGTAAATCTTCTCCATCTACAGGTAATCAGTCATTTCAAATACAAAGAAAACCCAGAATGAACTCCTGGGAATTATTTATGTAAGACCCAATAGCTGCTAGGGGTCATAAAATGACAGTTTACAGGGAGCCCAAATAAAACTCAATACCATCCAAAGCAAGACATCCTGTGGGTAGCGGGTAGGCAAACATTCCCACCGCGAGAACTCTGGCTTCAATGGCTGCTACAAGACAAGGGCAAGCCCAGAGCTGAAGGCAAGCACAGGACCCCCCTGTGCCCATGCAGCTCACGATTTTTAAGAGCCCACAGCATCTGGAGGGTGAGCAAACACCCGTATCATTAATCACAGAACAGGCAGCCCCTCTTTGTGCCATGCGCATGCCTATTAGTCTGAACTGTTTGGGAAGCCAGTGCTCTAGATGACCTAGACTGACCTTGGAATGTTCTGTTCAGGACAAAATGTCACCTAGGAATCGACTCTTTGTGAATAAGACCTAACTGAGCTGAAAGTGCTCTAAAACGATCAATAGGCAAGCCCGATAATACACACAGCATGGCTTTCTCAGTTATCTGATTCCTACAGAGATGAATCCCCATGAACATTCCCTGCTGGGCCTTTTCTGCTCATGTGTGTTCATTCCGCCTAGGGTCTAAGAAACATGGGTAACTGCAAATTATTAGGGGATTGTAATTCTATGGGAAATAATTTTGTCTAACATTGGAGGATTAGTGCTCCCAGTGAATTCGGGAAGTTGCTTCTTTAGTAATAATCTCTGACTTCAGAACTCAGAGTGATTTTGAAATGATATCTTTGAAGCTAAGCAACCATAGAAACCACTCATGGAGCGTTTTCATAGGGAAGTAGCTCAAATCTTAAGGTTAAAAGGATGTCAAATTTATATGCAAAACTATGTAACCAGAAAGAAGGGAGAGAGGGAGGAGGGAGGAGAGGAGGGGACAGTGCTAGGGACTTGAGGAGGAAGGATTATGATGTACAATGTGGGATAAAGCAAATTTTTCACAAGAATAAAAATTCCATTAAAATGGCATATAAAGTTACAGATGACAGAATCTGGCAGGTTTGGGGGGTTTTTAAAGGCATTCTGAATAATAAAGACTTGAAAAGGATGAAGACACAGGGCTAAAGTAAATTAAAATGGAGTCCAGGCCTGAACAATCCCTGAACAAAGTCAATCAGTTCTCATGAGTGACCCCAACCTGGCTTCGTTTGCAAACATAAGCAAAACTTAACTTGAGCTGTTTCTTGTAAATGGATGTCCCCACTCCCGCCTGCCTGCGTGGCTGCTCCCAAGTCAGCGGGAACACGAGGGAGCTGCAGGAGGTGCATTTCCCAGGGAGCAAAGCTATGACTGCGACAACCCTGGCGGCCCTTCGCTGCAGCCGAGGCTGACCGGGCCCCCAGACATTCGCTGGCAGGCAGCCAGTCACAGCCCCACGCCATGTTTTCAGCGACTGGATTTCTGTCTAATAAAAACAGAATTGGCGCCAAACCAATTGGTTAAACGTTACAGAGATTGTCCAGCATTTTGTTTAAAGTTTCCTAGTCTGTTTTCTTAAAGAAGTATGCACTTTAGCCATTGACTTGGGTCTACCTTTTATGACTTTTTCGTATATTATATTTTTAATCACTGCATTGCTAAGTGGGAATTATTCTCTTTGCAGGGTGAATGCGGGGTTGAGATAATTTCTCGAAGCTGGCTGTGAAAATTCCCGTGCTATGCAACTGAAGAGGAATTATTACTTTACCTGGAATCCTTGACACTCTCAGCCCTCAGTTTGAACTCTATTTTAAAGTTGCATATTTATGTGCCATTTACAGTAAATGCTCCAGGTTTGATCACCCAATATTCCAAATTTTGAACACCTACTGCATGCCCTCTCAGCCCACAGGAATTTCAAATGCCTTCTGTCTTTTGGTGCTGCCTTAATTAAAAAGAAAGGAAAAGAAAACTGGCCTAGTTTTGAGGTAAACATAAATATACAAGGCATTTCTTAAAGGGATTAAAGGATGAGGATTAGTGAAGAAAAGTTTTTCCCTTATATGTTCTGGTACTGGAAAGCAGAGAGAAGTCTGGGAATCAGAGAAGCGCACTGAGGATCAAGACCCCCCAAGCCCCACACAGGGCTGCCCTCCTTCTCATCTGCAGAGCAAGGACCCCTGAGGAAGGTCACTGCTGGGACCCCCCTGCTTGCTGCCCAGCTCAGAGACTCTTCTGTTTGCCTGAAATCCCACACAGGGGTAATCACAGGATTCTAGAATTTCTCAACCCAACTCCTTGGCCTCCAAGGCAGGGAATCTGAGGGCAGCAAGTGGAGAAGGTGCCCTGGGGCAGAGCTGGGTGGGCGTGCTCCCCTTTGGTGCTCTGCTCCCACACAGTCTCCTCTCTGCCTTGTATTCTTCTGCCCCTAGGTGAGTTCATTTTCTATGACAAGTGAGAGAAGTCTCTCTGAGATGGAGGAGGGAGACTGATGATGAATTGACAGTCTTGATATACTGGCTTAGCTCGTCGCCCTGGGCACACTTTAAAGGCCCCTGCTTTCTACACTGCACACACAGGTGTTCAACCCCAGGCCAGGGAGGCCCGGGTTTGGGATGCCTTCCTCGGGAGTGTGGCTGTCTCTTGCCCATTCTATTAGTTGACCTTGGTTTTATTCCCTACAAAGGGCTGGTCAAGGTTCTTTGTCACGAGACATTTTCAAGGTCCCTCACAACATCGTCCTTCAAACAGTTTTCTAAAAGATCCAAAACCCTACCGCTGAGAACTGCAACTTCCTAGAAAACTCCTAACATCCTGCTAAACTTTCAAGGTAATTGCTAGCAGATTATAGTCTCTAGCCATCTTCAAGTAATTTCACACACACAGCCCTCAAACATACCCAGGTGTACAACTACTTTTGCATTCCCATGCAATAGGACAGTCCCGGCAAAAGTGACAAAACTGAGTTCTCTGGCTGCAGCCTCAGCTGCTCTGTGGGAATTCCCTCACTCAACCGTATCTCTAACGGAATTGTAAGAGACTCCGGGGGTGTTGTACATGGATTCCAAGAGCCAGTGGATTTGACTAAGGAGCCGCAGCTTACTTACTTAGGTTTTCAGCTTGTCTCATTGTGTTGCAATCACCTGCTGCTGATGTCAGAAGGGGTCCCTGTGCCAGGGTTTCAATATTTATGCACGTGACATGTCTGTCCCCTCCCGCGGCCATCTACGCTGCTTCCCTTCCCATGTCCCAGCACAGCCCACGGCTCTGCACAGGCCTTGCTCTCTCTGCTTTGCACATTTGCCTGGGCAATGTCCTCCCTCACCACCTCTTCCAGCGGCTCTCCACCCAGTCTTCAATGTTCATCTCAAGTAAAAACTCTTCCATAAAGCTTTCTTGATTCCCTTACCAGATTGTATTTTTCCCTCTTATAAATCTCAGAAATGCTTTCTCTATCCTCTTAGGTATAATCGTAGTCTGCACTGTATTGCAATATTTATGTATTTGTCTCTAGAGACTATGAACTCTTTGAGGGCAGAGACTGTATGTTACTCACCTCTGAATCCCAAAATGCCTCTAACTCAACATCTTTATACAGAGAAAGCAATCATTAAGTGTCATTGATTGATTAACAAGTAATCTTTAATTGCCCTTCATCTCTGAACAACTGAAAAATTTGCAGACCATACGGTAGGCCTTTTCAAAATGTCCAGTTGCATTTTTTAGGGTTTTATGGTTGTCAATTGCAGTTAAAAGGGTTGTCAATCATTAGGATTTCTAGAAAACTATCAACCATAATAACATAAACAGTCTTTTTCCTTATGTGCAGGAGATACGTTCGAAGACCCCCAGTAGATGCCTGAGACGGGAGATAGTACCAAATCCAAAGTCCCATGCCTCTTATGTTTTTTCTTTCTTTTCTTTTCTTCTTCTTTTTTTTTTAATCAAAGCCCACTGCAGCATTAAACTCCCAGGCTCAAGCAATCCTCCCACCTCAGCCTACCGAGTAGCTGGGACTACAAGTGCGTGCCACCATGCCCAGCTTATTTTTATAATTTTTGTATCGATGGGGTCTCGCCATGTTGTCCAGGCTGGTCTTTACCTCCTGAGCTCAAGTGGTCCTCCCACCACGGCCTCCCAAAGTGCTGGGATTACAGGCATGAGCCACTGTGCCTGGTTCTTTTTTCTTATATATACATATATATATACATACATACATATGATAAAGTTTGAGGTGCAACACTAAATCTAACACAGTATTTTTCCTTCTTCACAATTTCACAGATAGAAGATTAGTTCTGTGAACCGTGAACATTTGAGACAGGTCTCAGTTAATTTAGAAAGTTTATTTTGCCAAGGTTGAGGACGCACGCTTGTGACACAGCCTCAGGAGGTCCTGAGGACATGTGCTTAAGGTGGTCAGAGCACAGCTTGGTTTTATACATTTTAGGGAGACATGAGACATCAATCGATATATGTAAAATGAACACCAGTTTGGTCCAGAAAGGTGGGACAACTGGAAGCAACTCAAAGCTGGGAGGGGGCTTCCAGGTCACAGGTAGGTGAGAGACAAATGGTTGCATTCTTTTGAGTTTCTGATTACTCTTTCCAAAGGAGGCAATCAGATATGCATCTATCTCAGTGAGCAGGAGGATGACTGAATAGAATGGAAGGCAGGTTTACACTAAGCAGTTCCCAGCTTGAATTTTCCCTTTAGCTTAGTGATTTTGGGGGCCCAAGATATTTTCCTTTCACAGTTCTTACCATAGATCTTAGCAATCTCAGCATTCAATTTTTTTTTCTTTTCTTATTAAGTGGAGAACTTTCACCTTTCCACTTAAAGGAAGCATTTGGCAGCTTTTTTTTTCTTTTGGCATATCTGAATTGCCAGCATCAACACTATTGCACTTTGGGGCTGTTACTAAGTAAAATAAGGGTGGCACCTATAATCCCAGCACTTTGGGAGGCCGAGGTGGGTAGATCACTTGAGGCCAGGAGTTCAAGACCAGCCTGGCCAACCTGGTGAAACCTCGTCTCTACTAAAAGTACGAAAATTAGCCAGGCGTGGTGGCACACACCTGTAGTCCCAGCTACTCAGGAGGCTGAGGCACGAGAATAGCTTGAGCCCGGGAGGCAGAGGATGCAGTGAGCCAAGATCGCACCACTGCACTCCAGCCTGAGCAACAGAGCAACATCCTGTCTCAAAAAAAAAATAAAAATAAATAAATAAATAAATAAATAAGGGTGGCTTGAACACAATCACTGTGATACCATGATAGTTGATCTGACAACCAAGTGGCTATTAAGTGACCAAGGTATATAGCGTGGATTCGCAGGACAAATGGAGCAGCCACGTTCCAGGGTAGACAGAATGGGGATGATGCAAGAGTTCATCACACTACCCATAAATTGTTTATTCATCACACTACCTATAAATTGTTTATTTCTGGAATTTTCCATTTAATATTTTTGGACCACAGTTGGCTGCAGGTAACTGATAACTCAGAAAACATAACTGTGGATGAGGGGGCACTACTGTATTCTAATCTTACTCTCTCCACTCATATTTATTTATTAGGAAATCCATGGAAATTCAAACAAATGAATGAATTTGGTGTGGTGGCTCATGCCTGTAATCCCAGCACTTTGGGAGGCCAAAGCAGGAGGATCCCTTGAGCCCAGGAGGTTGAGGCTGCAGTGAGCTATTTATGATTGGGCCACTGCACTCCAACCTGAGTGGCATAGTGAGATCTGTCTCTAAAAATAAATAAATAAATAAATAAATAAATAAATAAATAAACAAACAAAGAATCCATAAGGCAAAAACCCTGTGCCCTAAACAACTTTACCCTCCAGAGAGCTGGGCTTGCATGAGGGTTCTGCCCCTGCTACTGATTCCTAGTCCCAGAAAAATTTCTGTAATGTGGAACAAGTGGTTTTAATATGAACTTTTTACTAGAAACAGATTATTATTTCTGTTACAATTGCTGGCCTCTCTTCAAAAATACCATTTTCATCACTATAACAGCATCATCCTGTCAGCCATTAAATAAAGGCTCTCTGGGAGAGCCTTCCCTATGCAATGCTCTGGGCCACACTGAGACTATCAGAGGTCTGCAATGGAAAGAATATGATAGCCCTTGTAACACATCACTATGGTGTGAAGGTGTCCACCAGAATTAACAGCGAATGTGACAGCACTGAGTAAAGAATAATTATTTTTGTATCCTTTGGTGCTGGTCAAAGGATATAGGAGGAATACATTTTGAGACTGTAGTCAACTCCTTCAAGTCCTTTCTTAATGACTTCAGCCATGGAGGACGGCACAATTTAAGCTAACTCAGTGAGACAGGAAGAACTCTTCACAGAGAGCGAGAACCTGCACAACCATGGCGTCCTCAGCTCCCCACAGTGCTGCAGGAGATGCCCTGGCTCAACTACTTTGTCCTTGGAAGAAACAAACAGTGCCTGGACCAAGAGGTGGTGGCAGCTGACCTGGATGGCACAGAAATACACACACTCACAGCCAGAGCTTTGCAGACAGCCCTGAAACCTGCCACAGCACAGAAAGCAATACAAGTGGATGAAACCACGGTGGAAGAAGAGAAAATATACAGAAGAATCTTCAAACTGCAAGAGTCGAAAGGGATCCTCCATGGAAGAAGAGAACCCAGTTTATACTAGGAAAAGGAAAGGCAAGATGTCAAAGCCGTTGTGGCACTGTGGCCCCAGTGGAGGCTGGCTGGAGCTGCCTATGGTGAAGTCAACACTGGGCCTGACACCCAGGCTTGGCTTGACGGTTCTTCAAGCCCCCTGGCCTGTGCACCAGCAGCCACAGCATGGATTCCTGCGATCTCAGTGCATGGCAGCCCTCTCTCCAGCAGCAGAGAGCTCTCCCTGGCTGAGGCCCATCAGAGCAAGGCTGCTGTTATGGGCCAGTGACTTGCCAGGGGCCACACTGCAAAACTAGATCCAGGGTCTTGGAAAGCACAAAGAAGCTCTCCAGTGGTCTTGCCCAAATCTGCAGCAGCCTACAGACCCACCTACGAGAAGCCAGCCTTCACAGATGGGCCTTCAGTGGGCTATCTGGGACCAGAAGAGACCTCTTCACTTCAGGCTCCTTGATGGTTTGAGTGTGAAGTTCCAGAATTAGAAGCAATGTTCCTCTGGGGAATTCAGGAGGGGGAGATACACTGTCCCTGTATCACTTAGATACAGTTGTGCTGTCCATGCCTCCCTGTCCAGGTGACCCTGGCCACTCCCTGCTGCCTCCATGCACTGAAGCTTCCTGTCACCCTTCCAGCTGAATTATCTTGCTCTCAGGGCAGCTGCCTTCTGCCTCCTGTAACTCAGTCTCTTGTTTGCCCAACCCTACCTGCAATGGGGGTGATGTGGAAGAATGCCATGTTCTCAGGAAAACTGCCGTTCACCCTCCTCAGAGGACCCCCAGCATCCGGCATTTCTACTCTGTGTATGCCTGAGGCTGGGAGGTTAGGCTCAGAGAAGTGAGAGTTCTGGGCTCTGAAAGGGCACATCCAGAAAGTGGGGGGCAATGGACACATAGGCCCAGGCAGCAGAGCAAGACAAGTCCAGTGTCTACAGTAGCAAAACAGGCGTCTGCCCTCCAATCCCAGCTCCTGCTCCTCCTCCTCCTCCTCCTTCTTCTCTTCCTCCTCCTCCTTCCTCTCTTCCTCCTCCTTTTCCTCCTCCTCCTTCTCCTCCCTGTCCTCCTCCTCCTCCCTCTCCTCCTCCTCCCTCTCCTCCTCCTCACTCTCCTCCTCCTCCCTCTCCTCCTCCTCCCTCTCCTCCTCCTTCTTCTCCTCCTCTCCTCCTACTTCTCCTCCTCTCCTCCTCCTCTTTCCTCTCCTCCTCTCCTCCTCCCCTTTCCTCACCTCCTCCTCCTCCCCTTTCCTCACCTCCTCCTCCTCCTCCCTCTCCTCATCCTCCTTCTCCTCCTCCTCCCCTTTCCTCACCTCCTCCTCCTCCCTCTCCTCATCCTCCTTCTCCTCCTCCTCCCTCTCCTCATCCTCCTTCTCCTCCTCCTCCTCTCCTCCTCCTTCTTCTCCTCCTCTCCTCCTCCTCCTTCCTCTCCTCCTCTCCTCCTCTTCCTTCCTCTCCTCCTCTCCTCCTCCTCCTTCCTCTCCTCCTCCACCTCCTCCTTCCTCTCCTCCTCCTCCTCTTCCTCCTTATCTTCCCTCTCCTGCTAGGAAGAGCATTAAATAGAACTTGAGATCTTCCCCCTGCTGTACCCAGCAGTTCTTTTCTAACTGCCTGTGGAACAGTGTTTTGTGTTCGCCCTATTTACCAAAGACCAAAAATTGGTTTGGAGGCAGCTTCTACCTTCTCTTCTACCTTTCTAGTTAGTGGTAATTTGGATAAGGGAATTGTAGGGCTTAGATTAGTCTAGGGTTTTCAGTGACAGGCACAGAGTAATCATCTCTATGCCATCGTGGTCCAGCGGTCCCTGCTAGGTCTGTACACTCTGCAGAGAGCACTCCTCTCTTCCAGGATTCATGGGGGTGACTCATCTGGTGGCCTCCTTCCACATGTTTAGCCTGTACACAGGGCGTGGGTTAGT
Source organism: Homo sapiens (assembly GCF_000001405.40). Lineage (NCBI taxonomy): Eukaryota > Metazoa > Chordata > Mammalia > Primates > Hominidae > Homo > Homo sapiens. The sequence continues at coordinate 127,957 of NW_025791782.1, read as the reverse complement.
TCCGCGCAGTTGGCAGTGAGACCATCATGCTCCAGCCAGCCTCTCTGCCCCAGAGAATCATGGGCTGTTCTCCAAGAAACTGGAAACTAGAGTGCTCACTCCCAGGCCTGAAGCACACAGTTTTCTCATGAATGCCTCTCTGTTGTGTTTTGTATGATTTTGCCGCATGACATTTGTAGTAATTCAGGCCTGTTCAAGTTGAATTCTTTGCAAGTTGCCTTATTCTCCCTTTCCTGAGATTTTGTACATATTGTTTTCCTGAGTAATGGTATTTCTAAGTTAATTTCTTCTAATCAGAGCTACCAAAATGTACGTGCTTTCAGTAAACTCCTATTTGGTTTTGTTTTTTGATAAATTTTTTAAAAAGAGGTGATTAAGTCATGAGAGTGAAGTCCTCATGAATAGAATTAGTGCTCTTATAAAAAAGGCTTGGGAGGCTGGGCGCAGTGGCTCACGTCTGTAATCCCAGCACTTTGGGAGGCCAAGGTCGGCGGATCACTTGAGGCCAGGAGTTCAAAATCAGCCTGGCCAACGTGGTGAAACCCCGTCTCTACTAAAAATACAAATATTAGTCAGGCATGGTGGTGCGTGGCTGTAGTCCCAGCTACTCAGGAGGCTGAGGCAGGAGAATTGCTTGAACGTGGGAGGCAGAGGTTGCAGTGAGCCGAGATCATACCACATCACTCCAACCTGAGCGACACAGCAAGACTCTGTCTCGAAAAAAAAATACAATATTATTCAGTGATTTTTTTTTTTTTTGAGACAGTCTCATTCTGCCACCTAGGCTGGAGTACAGTGGCACTGCACGATCTCGGCTCATTGCCACCTCTGCCTCCCAGATTCAAATGATCCTCCTGCCTCAGCCTCCCAAGTAGCTGGGATTACAGGTGTGTGCCACTATGCCCAGCTAATTTTTGTGTGTTTTCAGTGGAGACAGGGTTTCACCATGTTGGCCAGGCTGGTCTTGAACTCCTGGCCTCAAGTGATCCGCCCACCTCCGGCTCCCAAAGTGTTGGGGTCACAGGCACAAGCCATTGTGCCTGGCCAGGTGATTTTTAAAAATGAAGTACTGATGCATACCACACTGTGGATGACCCTCAAACACACCGTGCTCCATTAAAGAAGCCAGCCACAAAAGATGTCATAGTATATGATTCTATCTATATGAAATGCCCATTCATAGGCAATTCCACAGAGACAGAAAGTAGACCTACTAATCACCTGCATTATAGTTGAGCTGCTTCCTCCTCTGTGAAACCTTTCCTGACAGAAGCAGGCAGCCTGGCAGGGTCTGGTGGCATCAAATTGTCATTATTGACTAGAAAATAAGTTTCATAAAGGCAAGAATAAGAATTGCCTATTTTGTTCTCTGCTGTACCCTCAACACACCTAGAACAGTGCTTGGTATATAACAGGCAACAGCAAATATGTATTGCATGATTGAAGGACTAAAACTGTTTGCATGCCTCTGCCTTCCCCATCAATAGGCAGTGTCTTTAGGGAAAGAGAAGATTTCGTTCCATTCATATTCACGGCCCAGTACCCAAAGAAATAGCATGCCTGGCACAGAGTACTCAAGTACACAGCCAATAAATATTGGCTGAATGAATGAATGAAAAGGAAATAGGGCTAAAACTAGTTTTGACCCACTACCCTGGAAGAGCGTAGTTCTTCTCCGATCCAGATATTCAGCACTTGCTCCTTGCAGACATCTTCAGACCCAGGCAAGCCTCCTTGAGCTTCTGAGCCCCTGCTTCTGAGAGTGGCTCTTGGACTTTCCTTTCACTCACATGTGGTCTGTCTCAGACATGTTTCCATGTTGAAACGTCACCTAGTATCTCAACAGACCTGAACAATACTACAGATCATGTCATTAGCATATACACTCAGATCCAGTCATACAGATGATAAACGGAAAACAAACCAAGACCAGTTGAAGACCTGGGTGAAGTGGTAGGTCCCAGGGCCCAAACTAGGAGGAATCACTGCATTCATCATGCTTCCAGAGAGCCAGTGCGGGTCCTCAGCCAGAGAGAAGCAAACCTATGTAGCCTTTTATAAAGAGTGCTCAAAAAGTTAGACCCCTGCATAACCTCCCAGCACCTTTCAGGAATTCGTGGAAGAGATGGCCAGCTGATAGGCATTCATTTAAAAGACATAGTTCCTTCCAAAATGTACCATGAGAAAAATAATTTTTAACCCAGTTCAAACGTATATTACCCACTCTAACTAAAAGGCATGTATTAATTTTAATTAAAATAGTATTGAGTGTAACATGTGTTTCGTTGTTCTATTAATGCAAATCTAACAGGACATCCAGACTTTAGCAAGAGACTGCACTTCCATCAGCAAGGAGGTTGATGAATTTCATCAACAGTAAGAAGGAAATAGCAAGAACTTCATCATTATTGCATTGCCTTTTTATAGGGCTACCTCTAAAACTCAAAAACAAACACACTTGCACACACGCCCATATTATGAGCCCTCTATATATACTACAGCCAAAATTCTTGGCTCCCCAAGAGAGCTTTACATGGAATGTAATAAAGAAATACCCAGGAAACTCTATAAGACTTTTGACAAGGCTAATATTGGACAGGAACAAAACAAGACTACTGGCACCATCTCCTCTCAGCTCTTAAGTAAACTTGTCCCATTAAAAAGTAGCCTATGGAAGACTTTTGTCTCCAATGCATATGGTAGCTTATAAGAAGTAGAAGGGCTGCCAAGTTGTAGATGTGTTCAAGCACTCTTTACCCTCATTAAATAGCATTGCCTGGCAACCAAAGACTCCAACTGAACTTTACATGGGAGGATGGTGTTTATGGTGGTGTGAAGTATCGCTTAGAGCCACAGAGCACCCCAGCACCCTGCAGTAGAGCCCACTGTGTGCTGAGCGTCATTTCAGGCAGGACAAACAAGCCAAGCTGAGCTGCTCTAAGGACCCACTATTAAATCAGGAATAGTCCACACCCTGGGGAAGAGTTGAGCCACACTTGGCCACAGAACACAGACACCAAGCTCCATAGGTTAAGGGGAAATGGGGGAAGGGACAGAGCCACAGAGATGCACAGCATTGCATGGTCAGGAGCCAGTCCAGAGGGCCAGGGGTTTCCTGTGCCAAGACATGGTGCTGGGACTCCAAAGGGAAAGAAAAGCAATGCATTCCTGGGACATCCCCCTAGGGTTGCAGTTGAGAAGATTTCACCATGCCTTAGACCTAAGTAGATTTAGTCATTGGAAACTGGTCTTGCTGTATCTAAAATGTGCTTTCAAACCATGTATGGCAGGAGAAATCTGGTAATGTACCTTTATTTCTTGTAATCAAAAATGCCAATCCCTGATCTCTTCACATTCTTCCCGCAGTATTTCATGTCTGATTCCTAAGCCCACTTAGGTCTCATTTAAAGCAATGTTTCCAAAGAGTTTAACTACATGTTGATCTTTTTTATTTTTTCTTTGCAGATAACTATGTGACTTCTTGGTTGTTTTTAAGACTACTGCGCCACTCATTCCTACATTATTGACCTTGTTATCTTCTTTCTTGTTTAAAATATGTATATTACTATGCGTATGGAAGCATTTTCCCCCAGAAAGACAAGGAAAAGAGTGGGAGTAAAATAACTGGACTCTCACATTTCCTGTTGCTACTCAAAATGTGTGCATAGGTCACTTGAACTGGGAAATGGGAAAATCTGCTCACAAGTCCATAAAAAAAAGGGGGCTATAAATTTAGTTCTAGGACCTAAATTCCTTCTTTAAAGGAGTAGCTCATTCTATTATCATCATCTACAATTAACCCAACAGCACAGGTCATTCTATTTCCATTGCCACTAACCCTGCCTGCCACTTTTTTATGCCTCCAGGGCACTGGCCTGGCCACCTCCCAGCCCTGTTGGCAAAATGCCAGAGATTAGGAGCCAGGAAAGAAAAGTTCTGAGTGCAAAGGCCAAGGCTCTGGGTGATGGAATCAGAAAATTACAAGGCTTACAGCTTAAATGGGCTTCTCTTGTGGAAAAATGTGAAACATACAGCTAAAAATTTAACAACAATATAAAACTTTCCATGTTTTTCTTTTTTTTTCTTTTCTTTTTGAGGCAGAGTCTCACTCTTGCCCAGGCTGGAGTGCAGTGATGCCCTCTCGGCTCACTGCAACCTCTGCCCCCCAGATTCAAGCACTTCTCCTGCCTCAGCCTCCTGAGTAGCTGGGATTACAGGCACCTGCCACCACACCCGGCTAATTTTTGTATCTTTAGTAGAGATGGGGTTTCAGGTGATCTGTCCACCTCGGCCTCCCAAAGTGCCGGGATTATAGGCATGAGCCACCGAGCCTGGCCACCTTCTATGTTTCACAATGGTTAGAACGAGTCCAGAGACAGTGAGAGCAACAACATTCACAGAAACTTAGGTTGAGTTGATGTCCCTGACTACAGTGATGCAAAGAGATAGGAAAGGAAAGGAAAGTTGTGATTTATTTCAAAGACTAAAGCAACAGATTCACCTGTTGAAGGATGAAAGACTGGAATGAATAGCACAATTTCTAGGTTTTGACCAGGAATTCCTGGATAATCAACAGTATCACTGACAATAATAGGGAAATGGGAAGGAGAACTCTTGTGTGAGGTCTAGCATAGAGGAACATGTGCTGGACTGAGTTTTGAAGACTTCATCTTAGTCATCTTAGTAGCCACTTTCACTATGTGGCCTTGGGCAGGTCAATTAATTAAGCTGAATTCATTTCTCTCATCTGTGAAATCCAAAGTTTGAACTAAATGATATTCAAGGATGAGCTATGAAGTTCATGTGCTGTCATTCCACCTTCCTATACCTTTAGAGGACAATGCTCGTTAATCATGGTCTATTTCCACTAAGTCTGGACATGGCCTTAGAATTCTTTTCAACCAGCATTACAGGAAGCCAAGGCCCATCTATTGGAGTTTCCATGAAAGATAAATTCTATGCAACATGAGAAATCTCTAAGTTCCTTCCTTTTGATTTTGATAAAGAGGATGTGCTCAATTCCATCCTTTAAGTTTTATTGGTAAGTGGAAATTCTATTCAGAAAAATTTAAAACCCAAGAATGAAAACAGAGTAGGCCTCCATTTCTGGTCTCATGAGTAGCTAGGCATGCTGGGGAAACTTCCTAGCCACAACTAGTCCACAGAAACAGATATGACACTCTTTGAGGTGTTTCTACTCTTCCAAAATGTAGGAGAGTTCTTTAGGGACAACTCCAAAAAACAACAACAAACAACAAATAAGAGCTAGAGCTTGTTGTGGGGGAGAGTGGAAAGGGTAGGGCTGGAGTAGGCAAGAGTTAAGGATTTGGCAGGTAGAATTGTCAGGGCAAGAACACCAGGAAGCATGGGCAGAACAGCAGAAAGCCAGAGGGTAGAGTCAATGTGGGAATTAAGCAACATGGACCCACAGTGGAGGTTGGCTACCCTGAGTCCTTGGTTATATGGCTAGACAGTTGTAGGAATGTTGACCTACAGAAGATCATTGAGGAGGAAGCCAAGTTTGAGATATCCATTCTAACACAAAACCTTCAGGAAAGGCTGAAGTAGACCCTAAGTAGGGATGCCCCCAAGCTATTCATAGAAGAATAAATTCTCCTGGGAAGAAAGCTTCCCCCAGGTCAGGCGTGTTGCTTCCCTGGCAACCCACTGGTGTGTTTGGTGTGTTGCCAAACACACCAGAAGTTTAGCTATTCAGCAAGAGATACAACATACTAAAGAACTTTATATGAAATGTTTAAGGAAATGAAGGATGAAATTACAAAAATGAGTATATAAAAATAAACAATTAATAATGAACAGACAGAATTTTTAAATACTAACCTCCAAGAATAAAATGTATAATTATTGGATTCAAAATCTCAAATAATTGGGCTAAATTTTACAGAGATTAGATACAGTTGACAAGAGAATTAGTGAACTGGAAGGCATATTCAAAGAATTTAGAATATAGCAAAGAGAGAAAAAAATGAAAAATATGAAGAGCTGAAGACATATAGAAGGTGAGAAGATATAATACCTACTAAGTGACATCCAAAAGAGGAAATTGAGAGAATTTTGAAGATACAATGTCTGGCTGCAGATTTTCCAGAAATTATATTAACTATGAATCCATGGACCCAACAATCACTACATATCCTGAGAAAACTTGATAAAGAGATCACTCACAGTGAAACTAGAGAGCACCAAAATTGAGAACATCATGAATATACAGAGCAAGAAGGGCTATATCACTTGGAAGGGCAGCTGAAATAAACAAAGGCAAACTTTTCAACAATAATGGAGACCAGAAGATAAGTGGAATAACTACAACATGTTAAAAGAAAATAATAGTTGACCAAGAATTATGTATAAAGCCAAAAGTGAGAAAAAATAGGAAAAACAGGACTGGGAATGGTGGCTAACACCTGTACTCCCAACACTTTGGGAGGCCAAGGCAGGAGGATCACTTGAGCCCAGGAATTTGAGACCAGCCTGGACAATGCAGTGAAATCCCATCTCACTTGAGCTCAGCCAAAAGGCCAAGAAGTGATCTGAAATCCTATCTATACAGCAAAATTTTTAAATTAGCCAGGTGTGGTGACATGTGCCTACAGTCCTAGCTACTCAGGAGGCTGAGGCAAGAGAATTACTGAGCCCAGGAGTTTGAAGTTACAGTGAGCTATGATCATATCACTGCACTCCAGCCTGGGTGACAGAGCAAAACCCTGCCACTAGAAAATAATTTTTAATTTTTTAAAAAATAGGAAAAACAGAATGAACCCAAAGGAGTTAAAAGAAAGGAGCAGAAAGCAACAAAATAAAAAACAAAGTTAAAATAGAGAGAATCAACAAATCCATAAGTTTGTTTAAAAAAATTACAAATATATTGACTTTAAGAAAAAAGACACAAATATATAACATAAATGCAGATAATTACAGTTTGAGCAAATATTTAAAACATAAACGTAATTTTTTTCTACTGCTGGTGAACAAATTAAGATAAACATAATTCTAACAATAACTATACCAATAAATTTTAAAATAATAAAATGGAGAAATTTCTGGAAGAATATAACCTAGTGTTATGTTTCCCCATAAATTTCAGCCGATTTTAATTACTGCATGTAATCATATAATTCCTGGGAACTGATGTTGTGCAACTTCCAAAGATAAATCATAGAAGGCAGTGAAGTTTCTATTTTGTCCACTGGGACACTTGCTTTTGGAAACCTGAACTACATATATATGTATATATATAATTATACTTTAAGTTCTAGGGTACACGTGCACAACGTGCAGGTTTGTTACATATGTATACATGTGCCATGTTGGTGTGATGCACCCATTAACTCATCATTTACATTAGGTATATCTCCTAATGCTATCCCTCTGCTCTCCCCCAACCCCACAACAGGTCCCAGTGTGTGATGTTCCCCTTCCTGTGTCCAAGTGTTCTCATTGTTCAATTCCCACCTATGAGTGAGAACATGCGGTGTTTGGTTTTTTGTCCTTGCAATAGTTTGCTGAGAATGATGGTTTCCAGCTTCATCCACGTCTCTACAAAGGACATGAACTCATCATTTTTTATGGCTGCATAGTATTCCATGGTGTATATGTGCTACATTTTCTTAATACAGTCTATCATTGTTGAACATTTGGGTTGGTTCCAAGTCTTTGCTGTTGTGAGTAGTGCCGCAATAAACATACGTGTGCATGTGTCTTTATAGCAGCATGATTTATAATCCTCTGGGTATATACCCAATAATGGGATGGCTGGGTCAAATGGTATTTCTAGTTCTAGATCCTTGAGGAATCACCACAACTGTCTTCCACAAGGGTTGAACTAGTTTACAGTCCCAACAACAGTGTAAAAGTGTTCCTATTTCTCTACATCCTCTCCAGCACCTGTTGTTTCCTGACTTTTTAATGATCACTATTTTGACTGGTGTGAGATGATATCTCATTGTGGTTTTGATTTGCATTTCTCTGATGGCCAGTGATGATGAGCATTTTTTCATGTGTCTGCTGGCTACATAAATGTCTTCTTTTGAGAAGCGTCTGTTCATATCCTTTGCCCACTTTTTGATGGGGTTGTTTATTTTTTTCTTGTAAATTTATTTGAGTTCTTTGTAGATTCTGGATATTAGCCCTTTGTCAGTGAGTAGATTGCAAAAATTTTGTCCCATTCTGTAGGTTGCCTCTTCACTCTGATGGTAGTTTCTTTTGCTGTGCAGAAGTTCTTTAGTTTAATTAGATCCCATTTGTCAATTTTGGCTTTTGTTGCCATTGCTTTTGGTGTTTTAGACATGAAGTCCTTGCCCATGACTATGTCCTGAATGAATGGTATTGCCTAGGTTTTCTTCTAGGGTTTTTATGGTTTTAGGTCTAATATTTAAGTCTTTAATCCATCTTGAATTAATTTTTGTATAATGTATAAGGAAGGGATCCAGTTTCAGCTTTCTACATGTGGCTAGCCAGTTTTCCCAGAACCATTTGTTAAATAGGGAATCCTTTCCCCATTTCTTGTTTTTCTCAGGTTGGTCAAAGATCAGATAGTTGTAGATGTGTGGTATTATTTCTGAGGGCTCTGTTCTGTTCCATTGGTCTATATCTCTGTTTTGGTACCAGTACCATGTTGTTTTGGTTACTGTAGCCTTGTAGTATAGTTTGAGGTCAGGTAGCGTGGTGCTTCCAGTATTGTTCTTTTGGCTTAGGATTGACTTGGCAATGCGGGTTCTTTTTTGGTTCCATATGAACTTTAAAGTAGTTTTTTCCAATTCTGTGAAGAAAGTCATTGGTAGCTTGTTGGGGATGGTATTGAATCTATAAATTACCTTGAGCAGTATGGCCATTTTCACCATATTGATTTTTCCTATGCATGAGCATGGAATGTTCTTCCATTTGTTTGTGTCCTCTTTTATTTAGTTGAGCAGTGGTTTGTAGTTCTCCTTGAAGAGGTCCTTCACATCCCTTGTAAGTTGGATTCCTAGATATTTGAAGCAATTGTGAATGGGAGTTCACTCATGATTTGGCTCTCTGTCTGTTATTGGTGTATAAGAATGCTTGTGATTTTTGCACATTGATTTTGTATCCTCAACCTGCTTCTGAATGACTACTGGGTACATAATGAAATGAAGGCAGAAATAAAGATGTTCTTTGAAACCAATGAGAACAAAGACACAACATACCAGAATCTCTGGGACACATTCAAAGCAATGTGTAGAGGGAAATTTATAGCACTAAATGCCCACAAGAGAAAGCAGGAAAGATCTAAAATTGACACCCTAACAGCACAATTAAAAGAACTAGAGAAGCAAGAGCAAACACATTCAAAAGCTAGCAGAAGGCAAGAAATAACTAAGATCAGAGCAGAATTGAAGGAGATAGAGACATAAAAAACCCTTCAAAAAATCAAAGAATCCAAAATTGATAGACAGCTAGCAAGACTAATAAAGAAGAGAGAAGAATCAAATAGATGCAATAAAAAATGACAAAGGGGATATCACCACCGATCCCACAGAAATACAAACTACCATCAGAGTATACTATAAACACTTCTACACAAATAAACTAGAAATCTAGAAGAAATGGATAAATTCCTCCACACATACACCCTCCCAAGACTAAACCAGGAAGAAGTTGAATCTCTGAATAGACCGATAACAGGTTCTGAAATTGAGGCAATCATTAATAGCTTACCAACCAAAAAAAGTCCAGGACCAGATGGATTCACAGCCGAATTCTACCACACGTACAAGGAGGAGCTGGTACCATTCCTTCTGAAACTATTCCAATCAATAGAAAAAAAGGGAATCCTCCCTAACTCATTTTATGAGGCCAGCATCATCCTGATACCAAAGCCTGGCAGAGACACAACCAAAAAAGAGAATTTTAGACCAATATCCCTAATGAACATTGATGCAAAAATCCTCAATAAAATACTGGCAAACTGAATCCAGCAGCACATCAAAAAGCTTATCCACCATGATCAAGTGGGCTTCACCCCTGGGATGCAAAGCAGGTTCAACATATGCAAATCAATCAATGTAATCCAGCATATAAACAGAACCAAAGACAAAAACCACATGATTATCTCAATAGATGCAGAAAAGGCCTTTGACAAAATTCAAAAGCCCTTCATGCTAAAAACTCTCAATAAATTAGGTATTGATGGGATGTATCTCAAAATAATAAGAACTATTTATGACAAACCCACAGCCAATATCATACTGAATGGGCAAAAACTGGAAGCATTCCCTTTGAAAACTGGCACAAGACAGGGATGCCCTCTCTCACCACTCCTATTCAACACAGTGTTGGAAGTTCTGGCCAGGGCAATCAGGCAGGAGAAAGAAATAAAGGTATTCAATTAGGAAAAGAGGAAGTCAAATTGTCCCTGTTTGCAGATGACATGATTGTATATCTAGAAAACCCCATCGTCTCAGCCCAAAATCTCCTTAAGCTGGTAATGAAACACTTTTTAAGAAGTCTACTGTAAGCCACCATGCTCTATAGAAGCCAAGGCTGAAATCTCAGCTGACAGCCGGTGTCAATCCTCAGGTAAGTGCGTAAAGATGCCTTTGGATGACTCCAACCTCTGGCTATGGAGTCTGTCAAGAGAAAGCTCCAGACATCATGAAACAGAAACAAGCTATTTCCATGGTGACTTGACAGGATTCTGATCTACAGAATCAAAAATATAATAAAAATGACGATTGAAAGCTACTAAGTTTGAGGGTAATTTATTATGTAGAAAATGAAACACTTGCCAAAGCTGACTTAAGATAAAATAGAAATCCTGAACAGTCTTATGACTATCAATGAAATTATTTCATAGATCATGGTTTTAGTGTTGCATTTAAAAGGTCATTGCCAAACCTAAGGTCATCTAAATTTTCTCCTGTGTTCCTTGGCCATACCACATCTACTTGATTACTATAGCTTTATAGTAAATTTTGAAATGGAGTAGCATCGGTCCTCTGACTCTGCTCTTTTTCAATATTGTGTTAACTATCCTAGGTCTTTTACCTTTTTATATAAACTTTAGAGTGACTTTCTTGATGTCCATAAAATAACTTGTTAGTTGAGGCATGTTTCTGGCTTGCCTAGAGTCCAGCTCTCATCTGCCTCATGCCCCTGGAGAGGAGCCTTCAGTCCCGGTATGAGTTTCTCTAAGGCATCTGATTACGTCTAACTCTCTAATCAAAGGGAACGAGAAATAATGTTCACCTTATTCTGTAAACCTAACAAGATAGAATGGCTATTCTGTTTCAGAGGTGAGAAACCTATGAAATAACATATTTCTATCAAAACATCATAAACACTTATGTCACGTAAAATCCTGAGAAAGGAATAAATACCTAAAGGCTTTGGGTAAACATCTTTTACCTTTTGCATTTCCATTCTCAACTACAGACTACATTGAAAGCCTAAGCAATAACACAGGAGGGAGGCAGAATAATGGTCCCCAAAGATGGCCAGCACCCTGATTCCCAGAACCCGTGAATATGTGACGTCACATGGCCATAGGGAATGGAGGTGGCAGATGGAATTAAGGGTGCTAATCAGCTGGCCTTAAGAAGGGAGATTATATTGTATTATCAGGAGGTCCAATGTGATCACAGATCCTTAAATGTGGAAAAGGAGACCAGAAGAGCCCATCTAGGTGATGTGATGTGAGGAGGAACTGTCACTGCAGGCTCAGGTAGAGGAAGGGGCCATGAGTCAAAGAATTCGGACAACCACTTGAAGCTGGAAGAACCGTGGGCTTTCCCCTCAAACCTGCAGAGAGGAACACAGTCTGGGCTACATCTCCATTTTAGCCAAGTAAGACCCATGTTGGACTTCTGGTGCATAGAAATGCAAGCTAACAAACTTGTGCTGCTTTAAGCCACTAGGTCTGTGGTAATTTGTTACAATAGCAACAGGAAACTGATATGCCATGATCATTAAATCTATAAAGTAAAGCATATTCTGAGAAATATTAAAAAATAATTTTTCAAATCTTACTTGATATTTCAGACTATTAGTAAAACTGTTTTTGATAGCATGAATTTCAAGAATATAGTGGTTGTTATTCTTAATTTATCCCCTTCTCCTTCTCCTCACTCTCCCCCACTTTAGTTTCCATGTTATTGTGAATTGTAACTTAAGGTTGAGTTGAAAGACCACAAAATGGAAAGCTGTTATAAGTGGTTCCCTCAAATTTCCTGGACCTTGGGAAGCAGAGCCATGTGACTGCTTTTCTGGTTTGACCTAGCTAATTCTCTGTTCATTGGTAGCCTTGGAATCCTTTATTATGAACATACAACATAATAACCACTTTCTATTTTTAAAAAATGGTTAGTAGTTTCTTTGGATCAAAGCAAAACACAAACTATTCCACATTAAAACTTCTCTTTTAATGAAAAAGGTTTTTTCAAGCCCAGTTAAGAAAAAAATAGTTTTCTTAGTCCTCTCCATCTTTGCAGTGAGTTGTTTTTCAGTTTCACTTTGGCTAAGGACCCAAATGTATGTAAGTCAAATGTAAATAAAATAAGTCAAGGCTAAAAAGATCTCATTAAACACATGTCACCAAAAGCAATTAGCAGATTTATTAATTTTTTTGCATAGTTTTTTATTCCTAGCATTAATCGTGCATGTAACTAAAGTCTTCTTGATTACATCCTTGAAAAATGTGTGTCTATTTCTCAAGTCTCACATGGCAAAGACCCAAACTGCCAGCTCTGGTTAAGGCCTTTACTTAAAAGTATAGTATAAAAGAGAAAAGTTAATTTGCCTGCTTAGTCAAAATAAGAGATGCCAAGGCCTTCCTGAAAAAAAAAAAATGTATATTTTTCGATGGCCAAGAAATGAACAATGGGTCAATAATCCCTTCCCAAGTACAGAGTGCGGTGCAGTGTGGGCCTGCAGTCTTGTGACAGTGTCTCCCGAGCTGCACTGCAGGGTGGCAGGTCCTCCAGGGGAGTCCCAGGACCGTTGGCAACCTGGTCCACTGCCCCTCCCACGGGCGGCACCTGGAGGTGAACACTTGCCGAGGGAGGATGAATGCCGGAGTGAGTCTGAACCGGGAGCCTACCCAGCCACTGCACGCAGAGCCCAGGGGGAGCCACAGGAAGATCCTTCACACCTTCCAGCCCTAAAAGCTTGCAGGAACGATGAGGTTAGAACTCAGACATGTCCAAGGCAGAGGCAGGCGAAAGAATTCAAGTAGAAGTGTTCACTAGGCTCTTGTACAATAGGCACTGTGATATCAATATGGAAATTGATGTTTACCAATGAGAATGAAGCTGTGGCAAAACAGCCCTCCACAAGGAGAAGAAGGTGGGGTCTGGCTTGGCTAGGGGAGCTCAGTCCCACCTACAAGGAGGCTGTCGGAAGGAGCAAAGGCAGAGCAACAGGGAGGGCAGGACACAGGGCGAGGGTAGTTCTGGGAGAACAGCACACTTTGCTGTGGTAGTCTCAGGAATTCACCCTGGTTTTCAGGCTTTGGAGGGTCCTAACCAGAAGTTGAAGCCTAATTATAGTCTCTTCCTTGAGGTTTCTGAGATAGCACAAGACTTGCATTTGCAAAATAAGACTATAGATGTCATAAATTACAAGCAGGAAAGTTGAAAGTGCCCACTGCCTCTCCTTTCATCCAAACTTGTCTTGTTCAGACGAATTTTTTGCTTTCAGATGAAAGATTCTACATTCATAGAAGTCAGTCTCATATAGTGCCAGGGGATCACTTTGTATAGAAAAAAGGAACAGAAAGATTAATAACCCAAAGGTGTTGTGCTGAACAGAGGTAATGCAGAGACATGAGAAGGTTTGGGATGGGACCAGGAGCACCACAGTGTTTTTCAAAATTGCTTCTCCCACATTCTTTCAAAAGGTTATTCTTCTCCTGAGTGCCTGTTTGGTAATTTTGAACTCTAGCTATTTTCTTTCTTATTGACTGTTTATCTGTCCCAGACTTCCACTATATTACAACGCTTCAGTTTCCTGCATTTGGGTTCAGCTTTATTACATGACAAATATTTAGACATTTTATTAACAACCTCAGTAAACATGACCTATCAAAGGGACATGGCAACAACTCAAACATTAAATCACACACACACACACACACACACATACACACACATGGAAGTGACTGAGAATTCAGTTCAATTCCTCATATATATTACAGGTCTTGGGTAATCTCAGTGGAACCTGCTAGGAGAAAATCTTTGCCTTTAGGCATTTTCTATTTTCATTTTCAACAGCAGAGAAAGAGGAAAAGAAAGAAAACCGAGTTTTATATGTAATAAATGTCCAACAATGCTTATTTATCCAACAATGCTTATTTATACAATTTAAATATGAAATCAGCCCTCCTCACAGACACCCCGTAAGAACACCAAGATTGAGAAGCTAAATCCAGGCCTCATACATAGTAAGAGCGAGTGCTTCTGCCTGCCCTACTCCTAACGGCTTCTACTAGAAGGCTCTGGCCACCTGGCAATGGCGTTTCAGAGCCAGGGCTTTGGGCAAGGCATACCTGGAGTTGGCTTCACCAGCTGTCCGCTGTGCAGACCTGGGCTGACCCCATCATCTCTGCCCTTTCCACTGCTTCAGTCCTCCTTACTAGAAAATGGGGCTTGAAATGTCTTCCTCATGGGATTCAATTAGACTATACACATGCATGTCAACATACACATATATGGTAGTTAGCACACTGCCCACAACATAGTCAGTGCCTGCGGAAGGTTAGCCCGTCCCAGCTCTGGTGGTAGCAAGAGTCATAACTCTCTGAAATACCTTCTCAGCAATAGTTAAACACTCCGCGTGTGAGGAGCAGACGGGTGTGCTTCGGTCACTACGCCTGGCCTTCGAATCTCTGCCCCTCCCGGGAGCCCAAGCTCAGCAGCATGGAAGGCTCTGAGCATTCCTCCTCTGAGAACTGCAGCCCTCATGCAAACACAGAGGCCAGAACACTCGTGCAGCCCCGACAGAGTTCTATGGTCACACCAGCCCAGGGTCAGAGGCGAGCCTGGGTCCCGGCTTTCTGCAAAGACTGGGTATTCTCCTGTCACCCCAACCCCGACTCCCCAGTCCCCAGGCCCCCCTCCAGAAGGCACATATCACTGTGTCCCTCACTACTGGGCCTCAGAGGTCTCCCTAGCACAGCAGGACCTGGCTCTGTGGGGCTCCAGTTCCTCCGCATTTGGTGAGAATCTCTCAGAAGTTTTCCTTCTTGTGTCCCTGGGGCTGGACGTAGGAAAACACAGAGCCACCCCGCAGGGGCGATTCCAGGATCATGACTTACTCTCACACAGCCCCAAACCCCAGACAGGATGAATGTGACAGATGCTGCAGGTGGGCACAGATGGAGAAAAGGAGTTCCTTTCAGTCACGGAAGAAGCCAGCAGTAGCATTAAAACTCCAAAGGACTAGCTTCCTTGTCTTCTGCATACAATGCCTTCAAGAAATAAATATGCCAGCCTGGCCTCAAGGATGTCTAATACCCCAAAATTTTAAAACTAAATAATGTATAATCACACTGAATTATATGTGCTGGGTGCTATCCTTAGAGCCTTACAAACATTTTCTTTTTCACAGCAATCCTAGGAGGCAGGGGTTACGATTATTACCTTTTACAGAAGAGAAAACAAAGGCTCAGAGTAGCTGCCCCAAGTCACACAGCCGGGAAGCCACAGAGTTAGAATTCAAAGCCAGGAGCATCGGATGCTCAAACCCATGTTCTCACTCTACCAGAATGTGGCATGACACCCTCTTCCCTGAAGTTTGCATGGAGAGATTGACAAGGCTGCAGATTTCACGGGTAAAAACAACATTACACGGCAGGAAGGGTAAGGAAGGGAAGACAGCACACACCGGCGAATTCCCGCAGCCCATTCACACTTGCAAACTCACCCAGCACCCAACTACATCAAAATGGGGCTGCTTACTCCTTGGTTCTGATCACAGTTTTGTCCTGGAAATTTTCTGGTACAGACTGAAATAAAAGCCACTCCAGGACATGAAGAGAGAGGACGTCCCTGTGATCTTCTTCCAGCACCAGGGCGTCCAGGGGTGACCTGTGCTGGCCACACTGGGTGAAACCAGGGAGACCTGGCCTGTGACCTAACATAGCAAGAATCTGAAATTGGGTAAATGCATGAGGACAGGCCAAAGGTCAATGCCCACTTCCACTCAGCCATAACAAAAGCAAAGTTTTGAGTTGTTTAAAAATATACACACACCTACTTTGCTAACTCTACAGCCAACTAGAACTAAATCCATCTACATTCAAAACATAGCAAAACTTTTCAAAAACTTATCAAACTACTGCTTTATACAGACAGCATGCAGCCATGGAAGGGCGGGAGCCCTACGGCTGGGCAGGCCAAGTCTGAGTCCCGGCACTGCTGCTGACCAAAGCTGCGACACCCCAGGCAGGTGACTTGCCCCTCAGCCTGTGGGACCTCATGGTCCAACAAGGAGAGAATACTGGTACCTGCCAATTAAATCAGATTAAAGGAGATAGCATGTCTAGAACACAAGGCTTGGGACATATGCCCCTTTTCCTCCACTCAACCAGATCTGAAATCAGATTGATCATTTCTTTGGCTCAAGTTCCCATATCCAAGGTCAACCCGAAGCCACATAATCTCGCATCGGAAAGCTTATCTCAGGCTCTGACCCAGCGGGCTCAGCCCTGCCCCCGCCTAATTGCTCACAGTGTGGTAATGCCTCCTGGTTTCATGTGCTTGACTAAATCTACTCAGCCTATAACTACGTCCTTCATTATAATTTAAGAACCTAGCATTTAATAAGCAATGACACCAGCCAAACTGTTATTAAGAGTGAATCACTAGAAACCTTTGTTTTCCACTATTTGGGTTCAGATGGGAATGGTCCAGCATTAAGATGCTCAGCACACAAGGCTTTAGCCCAGAAGGAATTTTTTTCCTCTGAAAATTGAGGGCAAACTATTTGGCTGTTTCAAAAGCTAAAAATAAATATAGCTTACTGGTTGCAAACACTGTTTGTGGCAGTACAGCTCCAAGACCATTTCAGTTTGGAAGCAAGTTATATTTGGCAAGCAATTAGGCCCCAAAACGTTCTAATTGCTTCATCTATTTTCAATAACAAAATAAAAAATAGACAAAGTATTTTGATTAAAAAATTAACAACTCATAGGAAATTCTCATACGTTTTCATAAGGATATTAGTAACCTAGGTGGGGCCTAAAAGATGATCTTTTCGGCCACAGAAAATTACCCAACCAACCACAGTATTTTACCAAACATTTCAGAAATCAACTGCATTTACCCAAATGAGTGCTCAAGTCAGGATAAAAAGGAGGCTATGATCCTACACAGGGCCCTCTATTCAAAGCTGCACGAAACCACCGGACAAATGGTTTCTGTCTACTGGAAGCTTACCAGTGAAGAACCAAGAGATTTAGAACATGGATTAAACAAATATAAATTAAATAGTAAAGCAATGGAGTAATTTAAATGTGTTTTGATAACACATCATTCTAAGCTGGGATATAACGTTTGCTTAACCCCAGAGTCAGCAAGACCCTGTCCCCACGGCCTCGACCATCCCACGTGTTCTAAATCATCAAGTCGGCGGCTGCCAACCCCTTCTCCACTACACCCAGCCTCAGTGACCCCAAACCACTCTTCACCTTCCCAGTCCATCAGGCCCCTATGTCTTCTGACACACTTCTCAGCAGCTCACCACTACCTTCGAGAGCACTGGCCTCCAGTAGGACTCACCTCAGTCATGCAGAAACAGGCTTGCTCATGCTCTGCACACTGTCTGCACTGTTCCACACTCCCTTCCACCCGAGGAGCAGCCCCACCCACACTTCCGTCTACGGCCTAGCTCCTTCCTGGGGCCACCCTTGTGCTTACGGGACACCTGACACTGAATTGTGTTTAGTATACAACCAGTGTTGCCAAAGCATTGTGCTTACACCAGTGGCCACAAAGGGCCATGCAGCCATAGCTGGGGTGACAGGGCCTGGGCGTTATCAGAGCCCCTTCTGGTGGTGGAATCCAGGAACTCAAGCCTTGAGGCCCCAGTCCCCAAGAAACATAGGATCATTTCCACTGACACCACACCACAGGACACCACACCACACACACACCGCACACATCGCACTGCACCACACACACCACACACCACCATACCACATCACACACACCACCCAGACCACATCACACACACACAACACACATACATCACACACCACACACATATCACATCACACACACACCACACCATACCACATCACACACACACCACACACATACCACATCACACACACACCACACCATACCACATCACACACACACCACACACATACCACATCACTCACACACCACACACATACCACATCACACACACACATCACACACACACACCACACAACACATCACACATACACCACACACATACCACACCACACATACACAACATATCACATACACACACCACACACACACCACGCCATATCACACACATACCACACAAACACCACACATACACCACACCACACATACACCACACCATATCACACACATACCACACACAAACACACCACACTCACACACCACACATACACCACACCACACATACCACACCACAAACACACACCACACCATATTTCACACACACTACACCACACATATACACATACACACCACTCACATGCACCTTACATCACACACAAACCACACACACCCCAAACCTTACCTTCCTCCCTCCCTTATCCTATCCAGCCCAACAACTTCCACACTAAATTCCCAAATAATCCTCAAGCCCTTCGGGGTGTGGAGCTGGCCCCCTTACTCTCTCCTTAGCCCTGACACACTGATGCATAATTCATTTCTTCACTGAAGTGATTTCCTAGCTTTGAAGAGGAGAGGCAGAAGCCACAAAATGAGAGGAGCCCTTTACAGAGACCCTCTTAGTAAACATGAAGAGTCCAATCCAGTGTCTCCTAATGAGGAGAAGACAAAGGCACAGGGATTGGGAAGTGAACGTGTTCTACGACTGATACACTTCCCGCCCTGGCCTTTGAAATAAATAGCACAAAAGGAAATTGAAGATGTAAACTGGGATGGGATGTTGCCAAATGGCAATGAATGTTCAGATGACTTTCGTAGCATATGTAAACTACAGCTGATTGTTTATATAGCACTTCCACACAGATTATCTTATTGATCTTCACAACCGTGCTGTGCTGGACACAGAACACGTATTCTAATTTCCATTTTCAGATTTGCAAAGCAAGCTCAGAAAGGAAGGGCTTTGAGAAGAACTGGGCATTGACCCACACACACCACACACACTACACTACATCACACACACACAGACACACAGACACACACACACACACCACTTGGGCCACATTCAGCCCAAGGCAATTCTCACCATATGTCTTCACATCTTCCCTGTTCCTTAAAACAAAAAGATAATTCGTGTGAAAGGTCAAAAAAATTCCAAAATAGTTCCAGAGGCCAATGTCCTGATTTACATACAATTCATGGTGAAAGTGGATTTCTCCTTCACATCAAAAAGTGATTGTTTGAATGAAAATTTGCCTAATTAATTCAATCATTAATCTTATTCAATAAGCTACTGTCAAAAGCTTGATGCAAAGGGCTTTTAGTATGAGTAAAGGCAGGTGGATGGCCCCCACTGTAAGTACTAAGCCCCCTTATTCATTGCCCATGGGCTACCCAAAACACTTTCAAGACTTGGTGGAGGACGAGAGGAGCCCTAGCAACTCCAACACCATGTGCTTGCCTTATGCAAGTGAATACTGGCTATGCTATGGTATGGTCTGCCTATTTATCCTCCAACAAAACTCATATGCTGAAACCCTAAACCCCAGTGTGATGGTATTTGGAGCGGGTCTTTGGGAGGTGAGGAGGTCGTGAGGGTGGAGTCCTCATGATGGCATTCGTGCCTTACAAGAAGCGACGCAGAGCTTGTTGTCTCTGCTCCCCGCTGTGTGCGGATAGACACGTCTGGAATCTGCCATCTGGAGGGGCCTTCACCAGATTTTTTTACAGCAGCCCAAAATGCGTAAGATAAGCTCTGTCACCCCAGCGTCCCTGGACTGACTTCATACACACACACACACACACACACACACACACACACACACACACTTCTGTGACTGCTTGACGTGGGGGCATTGCAGGTGGGAGCAGAAAGGCCACTCGTTCCCCTGGGCTGTTGTGTGGCCCTCCCCGACAAAGAAGAGGGATGAGTCCAGCCCCGCGGACCTTGCACACAATCCCCTTACCCAACAAGCATTTACGGTGGAGAAGACAAGGCGCTCCATGAGGGTGCTTCTGGAGGGTGGACAGGAGGAAGAGGGTGGCGCAGCCGGACCCTCACAGAAACCCCCATGGGGAGGCAGCTCCAGGAGCAATCAGTTGCTAGTTGGGGCCAGAGCCTGAAACAGCCACTCTGATTTAAATGCACCCAGTGAGGCATCTAATGAGTGAGCTGGGACCAGAACGGGGCTTCAGGAATTGGGTGTCCCCTCCCCAACTATGGTCCTCCAGGTAACTTCTAGGAGAGAGGACGTTGTGCCAGGCCGTGGCCCCCACCACTAAGGAAGGAGCGAGGATTATGGAGCTTAATGGGGTCAGGGGTGGAAAAGGGCAGCCCAAGGTGAAGAAGCAGGTAGACATTTTGTGAGGGGGCCACAAAGAGAAGAGAAAGGATTTTACCAACCTATTCACAGTCACGAGTGTTTCCAAATGGAAGGTGCCCTGAAATGCCAAGACAAAAGTTCTGAATTCTTTGTGAGTCTTACCCGGCGATATAGGAAAAGTCTTTGCAGTTTGTGAGCTAGGGGACAAACTTTTAACTGTGTTTGTGTGTTATCATATCCAAGACCTTTTGTTTCTTCTCAAAAAGTAATATTCTCTTGAGCAGCGCGCTGTTGACTTTGGATGGGAGTAAATGGAAGCCTGTCTCCTCGCAGAACTCAGGCAGCAGAGTTCTGCCCTGACACCTAGCGGATTCCGGGCTTACTGCAGCGCCGGCTTAGCAGTTCTCCGAGGCTTTCTCATTTCTTCTGATTTTTGTCGTACAGCTGCTCAGAACTCATTTGCTCCTCCCTAACAGCCTCAAGCTCCTTTAGAAAAGAGTGAAATAAACAATATGCACAATGTCTACTGTTTCTATATAGTCCTATTTTGCACCCAATTCTTGTTTCGCAGACCCTTCCTTCGCCCCCTCCTTGAATAGCAGCCACATGGGAGCCCAAGAGAGAGGGCCTCTGTCAGCCAGTCCTGGGGCCACGCTGAAGATGCTGCCAGATGTGGGCCTGACTCTAAAAGAGAACCAAGCCCTGTGTTTGACATTACAGGTAAAAAACAGAGGCAAATAACTATCAGAATATGGAGGCCAGAGTTCGTATAAGAAGAGAATTCCAAATGAAAGAGAAACAAGCCAAGCATGGTGGCTCATGCCTATAATCCCAGCACTTTGGGATGCTGAGGCGGGCGGATCACTTGAGGTCAGGAGTTCCAAACCAGCCAGGCCAATATAGTGAAACACATCTCTATTAAAAATACAAAAGCTAGCAGGATAAGGTGGCAGGTACCTGTAATCCCAGCTACTTGGAAGGCTGAAGCAGGAGGATCATTTGAACCCAGTAGGCGGAGGTTGCAATGAGCCAAGATCACACCATTGCACGACAGAGAGAGACTCTGTCTCAAAAAAAAAAAAAAAAGAAAGAAACAATAAACATGTAGGTCAATAACCTTCACATATAAAGCCTCATATAAATAAACCAAAAAAATCCTTGGAACTCTATTTTTTTTTAGTTCCCTGCTGCCCAGACTAGAGTGCAGTGGCAGTGGCACAGTCATAGCTCACTGCAGCCTTGTACTTCTGGGCTCAAGCGATCCTTTTGTATCAGTCTCCCAGGTAGCTGAGACCACAAACAGATGCCCGGCTAATTTTTTTATATTTTTTTTTTGTAGAGATGGGGGGTCTCACTGTGTTTCTCCGAATGGTCTCGAACTCCTGGGCCTAAAGCAGTCCTCCCACCTTGGCCTCCCAAAGTGTTTGGATTACAGGTGTGAGCCACCGCACCAGGACAAACTCAATTTTTCTAAGGTGGACAAAGCACAGCAGCTGACAATTAGCAAAAGGGTAAACACAAAGTATTAGTGAACATTTGGAAAATGTTTCAATTAATGAAATAGTTAAAATAAGAGGGTACTATATTTTATGCATCCAATTTGCAAAAAGTATTTTTAACTCAAGTCCCCAACTCGAATGCTGTCCGGGAAGCAGGAAACAGAAGCAGCAGCAGGAGGATGTGCTGGGAGGCTGCTGGAGAGAGGAGGCATCAGGACCAACTACAGGGATGCACCAAAAGCCTTTAAAATATGTGAATCCCTCACCCGAGGAGTCTCACTTTTGGGAATGCATTCTAAAAAAGTAATCTAGGTCGGGCATGGTGGCTCATGCCTGTAATTCCAGCACTTTGGGAGGCCAAAGTAGGTGGATCATCTGAGGTCAGCAGTTCGAGACCAGCCTGGCCAACATGGTGAAACCTGTCTCTACTAAAAATACAAAAATTAGCCGGGCATTGTGGCATACACCTGTAATCCCAACTACTCAGGAGGCTGAGGCAGAAGAATCGCTTGAACCCGAGAGGCGAAGGTTGCAGTGAACCGAGATCGCACCACTGCACCCCAACCCGGGAGATAGAGCGAGACTCCATCTCAAAAAAAAAAGAAAAAGAAGTAATCTAAAATGTGGAAAGAGCAGCCAGCCAACATCATACTGAATAGGCAAAAGATGGAAGCATTCCCCTTGAAAACTGGCACAAGACAAGGATGCCCCCTCTCACCAATCCTATTCAACATAGTATGGAAGTCCTGGCCAGGGCAATCAGGCAAGGGGAAGAAAGAAAGAAAAGGCATCCAAATATCCAAATAAGATGAGAGGAAGTCATCATTGTTTTCAGACGACAAGATCCTATATCTAGAAAACCCCATCATCTCAGCCCAAAAGCTTCTTGTGCTGATAAGCAACTTCAGCAAAATCTCAGCATATAAAATCAATATGCAAAAATCTCTAGCATTCCTATACACCATTAACAGGCAAGCAGAGAACCAAATCATGAATGAACTCCCATTCATAATTGCTACAAAAAGAATAGAATACCTAGGAATACAACTTATGAGGGATGTGAAGGACCTCTTCAAGGAGAACTACAAACCACTGCTCAGAGAAATCAGAGAGGACACAAACAAATAGAGAAACATTCCATGCTCATGGATAGGAAGAATCAGAATCATGAAAATGGCCATACTGACCAAAGTAATGTATAGATTTGATGCTATTCCCATTAAACTACCATTGACATTTTTCACAGAATTATGAAAAACTGTTTTAAAATTCATATGGAACCAAAAAAGAGCCCAAATAGCCAAGTCAATCCTAAGCAAAAAGAACAAAGCTGGGTGGTGGCTGGCAAGATGGCCAAATAGGAACAGCTCTGGTCCTATTTGCAGCTCCCAGTGAGATCAATGAAGAAGGCAGGCGATTTCTGCATTTCCAACTGAGGTAGCTGGCTCATCTTATTGGGACCAGTTACACAGTGGGTGCAGCCCACAGAGGGCAGGGTGCGGTGTCACCTAACCCAGGAAGTGCAAAGGGTCAGGGAACTCCCTCCCCTAGCCAAGGGAAACCATGAGGGACTGTGCCTTGAGGAACAGCGCACTCCAGCCCAGATACTACGCTTTTCCCAAGGTCTTTACAACCCGCAGACCAGCAGATTCCCTTGGGTGCCTACACCACCAGGGCCCTGGGTTTCAAGCACAAAACTGGGCAGCTGTTTGGGCAGACACCGAGCTAGCTGCAGGAGTTTTTTTTGTTGCTTTTTTTTTTTTCATACCTCAGTGGCAACTGGAATGCCAGCAAGACAGAACCATTCACTGCCCTGGAAAGGGGGCTGAAGCCAGGGAGCCCAGTGGTCTACCTCAGTGGATCTCACCCCCACAGAGCCCAGCAAGCTAAGATCCACTGGCTTGAAATTCTCACTGCCAGCACAGTAGTCTGAAGTCAACCTGGGATACTCGACCTTGGTGGGGGGAGGGACATCTGCCATTAGTGAGGCTTGAGTGGGTGGATTTCCCCTCACAGTATAAACAAAGCCACCAAGAAGTCCAAAGTGGGCTGAGCCCACTGCAGCTCAGCAAAGCTGCTGTAGCCACACTGCCTCTCTAGATTCCTCCTCTCTGGGCAGGGCATCTCTGAAAGAAAGGCAGCAGTCCCAGGCAGGGGCTTATAGATAACACTCCCATCTCCCTGGGACAGAGCACCTGGGGGAAAGGGCAGCTGTGAAGACAGCCGCAGCTGACTTAAACGTTTCTGCCTGCCAGCTCTGAAGACAGCAGCAGATCTCCCAGCACAGTGCTCAAGCTCTGCTAAGGGACAGACTGTGTCCTCAAGTGGGTCCCTGATCCCTGTGCCTCCTGACTGGGAGACACCTCCCAGCAGGGGTTGACAAACACCTCATAGAGCATAGCTCCAGCTGGCATCTGATGGGTGCCCCTCTGGAATGAAGCTTCCAGAGAAAGGAACAAGCAGCAATCTTTGCTGTTCTGCAGCCTCCGCTGATGATACCCAGGCAAACAGGGTCTGGAGTGGACCTCCAGCAAACTCCAGCAAACCTGCAGCAGAGGGGCCTGACTGTTAGAAGGAAAAACTAACAAATATAAAGGAATAACATCAACATCAGCAAAAAGGAAGTCCACACAGAAACCCAATCCAAAGGTCACCAACATCAAAGACCAAAGATAGATAAATCCACAAAGATGAGGAAAAATCAGCGCAAAATGGCTGAAAATTCCGAAAACCAAAACGATTCTTCTCCTCCAAAGGATCACAACTCCTTGCCAGCAAGGGAACAAAACTGAACGGAAAGTGAGTTTGATGAATTGACAGAAGTAGGCTTCAGAAGGTGGGTAATAACAAACTCCTCCGAGCTAAAGGAGTATGTTCTAACCCAATGCAAGGAAACTAAGAACTTTGGAAAAAAGTTAGAGAAATTGCTAACTAGAATAACCCGTTTAGAGAAGAACATAAATGACCTGATGGAGCTGAAAAACACAGCACGAGAACTTCGTGAAGCATACACAAGTATCTATAGCTGAATTGATCAAGCAGAAGAAAGGATATCAGAGATTGAAAATCAACATAATGAAGTAAGGCATGAAGACAAGATTAGAGAAAAAAGAATGAAAAGGAATGAACAAAGCCTCCAGGAAATATGGGACTAAGTAAGAGACCAAACCTATGTTTGACTGGTGTACCTGAAAGTGATGAGGAGAATGGAACCAAATTGGAAAACACTCTTCAGGATATTATCCAGGAGAATTTCCCCAACCTAGCAAGACAAGCCAACATTCAAATTCAGGAAATACAGAGAACACCACAAAGATACTCCTACAGGAGAGCACCCCCAAGACACATAATCATCAAAATCACCAAGGCTGAAATGAAGGAAAAAATGATAAGGGCAGCCAGAGAGAATGGTCGAATGGTCAGGTTACCCACAAAGGGAAGCCCATCGGACTAACAGTGGCTCTCTCGGCAGAAACCCTACAAGCCAAAAGAGAGTGGGGGCCAATATTCAACATTCTTAAAGAATTTTCAACCCAGGATTTCATATCGAGCCAAACTAAGCTTCATAAGCAAAGGAGAAATAAAATCCTTTACAGACAAGCAAATGCTGAGAGATTTTTGTCACCACCAGGACTGCTTTACAAGAGCTCCTGAAGGAAGCACTAAATATGGAAAGGAAAAACCAGTATCAGCCACTGCAAAAACAAACCAAATTGTAAAGACCACTGACATTATGAATAAACTGCATTAACTAATGGGCAAAATAACCAAATAGCATCATAATGACAGGATCAAATTCACACATAACAATATTAACCTTACATATAAATGGGCTAAATGCCCCAGTTAAAAGACGCAGACTGGCAAGTTGGATCAAGAGTCAAGACCCATCAATGTGCTATATTCAGGAGACCCATCTCACATGCAAAGACACACATAGGCTCAAAATAAAGGGATGGAGGAATATTTACCAAGCAAATGGAAAGCCAAAAAAAGCAGGGGTTGCAATCCTAGTCTCTGATAAAATAGACTTTAAACCAACAAAGATAAAAAAAGACAAAGAAGGGCATTGCATAATGGTAAAGGGATCAATTCAACAAGAAGAGCTAACTATCCTAAATATATATGCACCCAATACAGGAGCACCCAGATCCATAAAGCAAGTTCTTAGAGACCTACAAAGAGATTTAGACTCCTACACAACAATAGTGGGAGATTTTAACACCCAACTGTCAATATTAGACAGATCAATGAGACAGAAAATTAACAAGGATATTCAGGACTTGAACTCAGCTCTGGACCAAGCAGACCTAATAGACATCTACAGAACTTTCCACCACAAATCAACAGAATATACATTCTTCTTAGCACCACATCGCACTTATTCTAAAACTGACCACATAATTGGAAGTAAAACACTCCTCAGCAAATGCAAAAGAACGGAAATCATAACAGTCTCTCAGACCAAAGTGCAATCAAATTAGAACTCAGGATTCAGAAACTCACTCAAAACCATACAACTACATGGAAACTAAACAACCTGCTCCTGAATGACTACTGGGTAAACAACAAAATTAACGCAGAAATAAATAAGTTATTTGAAACCAGTGAGAGCAAAGATACCATACCAGAATCTCTGGGACACACAGCTAAAGCAGTGTTTACAGGGAAATCTATAGCACTAAATGTTCACATCAGAAAGCAGAAAAGATCTAAAATCAACACCTTAACATCACAATTAAAAGAACTAGAGAAGCAAGAGCAAACAAATTCAAAAACTAGCAGAAGACAAGAAATAACTAATATCTGAGCAGAACTGAAGGAGATAGAGACACGTAAAAACCTTCAAAACAATCAATGAATCCAGGAGCTGGTTTTTTTTAAAAGATTAACAAAATAGACCACTAGCCAGACTAATAAAGAAGAAAAGAGAGAAGAATCAAATAGACACAATAAAAAATGATAAAGGGGATATCACCACTGATCCCACAGAAATACAAACTATCATCAGAGAATACTATAAACACCTCTACACAAATAAGAAAATCTAGAAGAAATGGATAAACTCCTGGACACATAAACCCTCCCAAGACTTAACCAGGAAGAAGTTGAATCCCTGAATAGACTAATAATAAGTTCTGGAATTAAGGCAGTAATTAATAGCCTACCAACCAAAAAAAAGCCCAGGACCAGACAGATTCACAGCCGAATTCTACCAGAGGTACAGAGAGGAGCTGGTACCATTCCTTCTGAAACTATTCCAAACAATAGAAAAAGAGAGACTCCTCCCTAACTCATTTTATGAAGCCAGCATCATCCTGATACCAAAACCTGGCAGAAACACAACAAAAAAAGAAAATTTCAGGCCAATATCCCTGATGAACATAGATGCAAAAATCCTGGCAAACCGAATCCAGCAGCACAACAAAAGCTCATCCTACAATCAAGTCGGCTTCATCCCTGGGATGCAAGGATGCTTCAACATATGCAAATCAATAAATGTAATCCATCACATAAACAGAACCAATAACGAAAACCACATGATTATCTCGATAGATGCAGAAAAGGCCTTAGATAAAATTCAACACCCCTTCCTGCTAAAAACTCTCAATAAACTAGGTATTGATGGAACATATCTCAAAATAATAAGACTATTTATGACAAACTTACAGCTAATATCATACTGAATAAGCAAAAGCTAGAAGCATTCTCTTTGAAACTGGCACAAGACAAGGATGCCCTGTATCACCACTCCTATTCAACACAGTATTGGAAGTTCTGGCCAGGGTAATCAGGAAAGAGAAAGAACTAAAGGGTATTCAAATAGGAAGAGAGGAAGTCATATTTTCTCTGTTTGCAGATGACATGATTGTATATTTAGAAAACCCCATCGTCTCAGCCCAGAATCTCCTTAAGCTGATAAGCAACTTCAGCAAAGTCTCAGGATACAAAACCAATGTGCAAAAATCACAAGCATTCCTATACACCAACAATAAACAAACAGAGATCCAAATCATGAGTGAACTCCTATTCACAATTGCTACAAAGAGAATAAAATCCCTAGGAATACAACTTACATGGGATGTGAAGGACCTCTTCAAGGAGAACTACAAGCCACTGCTCAATGAAATGAGAGAGAACACAAACAAATGGAAAAACATTCCATGCTCATGGATAGGAAGAATCAATATTGTGAAAATGACCATACTGCCCAAAGTAATTTATAGATTCAATGCTATCCCCATCAAGCTACCATTGACTTTTGTCACAGAAATAGAAAAAACTACTTTAAATTTCATATGGAGCCAAAAAAGAGCCTGTATAGCCAAGACAATCCTAAGCAAAAAGAACAAAGCTGGCGGCATCATGCTACCTGACTTCAAACTGTCCTACAAGGCTACAGTAACCAAAACAGCACGGTACTAGTATCAAAACGGACATACAGACCAATGGAACAGAACAGAGGCCTTAGAAATAACACCACACATCTACAACCATCTGATCTTTGACAAACCTGACAAAAACAAGAAATGGGGAAAGGATTCCCTATTTAAAAATGGTATTGGGAAAACTGGCTAGCCATATGCAGAAAACTAAAACTGGATCCCTTCCTTACACCTTATACAAAAATTAACTCAAGATGGATTAAAGACTTAAAAGTAAGACCTAAAACCATAAAAACCCTAGAAGAAAACCTAGGCAATACCATTCAGGACATAGGCATGGGCAAAGACTTCAAGACTAAAACACCAAAAGTAATGGCAACAAAAGCCAAAATTGACAAATGGGATCTAACTAAACTAAAGAGCTTCTGCATAGCAAAAGAAACTATCATCAGAGTGAACAGGAAACCTACAGAATGGAAGAAAAATCTTGCAATCTATCCATCTGACAAAGGGCTAATATCCAGAATCTACAAAGAACTTGTACAAATTTACAAGAAAAAACAAACAACCCCATCAAAAAGTGGGGAAAGGGTATGAACAGACACTTCTCAAAAGAAGACATTTACATGGCCAACAAACATATGAAAAAAAGCTCATCATCACTGGTCATTAGGGAAATGCAAATCAAAACCACAATGAGATACCATCTCACACCAGTTAGAATGGCGATCATTAAAAAGTCAGGAAACAACAGATGCTGGGGTGGATATGGAGAAAGAGGAACACTTTTACACTGTTGGGAGTGTAAATTAGTTCCACCATTGTGGAAGACAGTGTGGCGATTCCTCAAGGATCTAGAACCAGAAATACCATTTGACCCAGCAATCCTATTACTGGGTATATACCCAAAGAATTATGAATCATTCTACTATAAAGACACATGCACACGTATGTTTATTGCAGCACTGGTCACAGTAGCAAAGACTTGGAACCAACCCAAATGCCCATCAATGATAAACTAGATAAAGAAAATATGGCACATATACACCATGGAATAGTATACAGCCATTAAAAAGGATGAGTTCATGTCCTTTGCAGGGACATGGATGAAGCTGGAAACCATCATTCTCAGCAAACTAACACAGGAACAGAAAATCAAACACCATATACTCTCACTTGTAAGTGGGAGTTGAATAATGAGAACACATGGACACAGGAAGGGGAACATAACAGACCAGGGCCTGTTAGTGGGTGGAGGGCTAGGGGAGGGACAGCATTAGGAGAAATACTTAAGGTAAATGACGGGTTGATGGGTGCAGCAAACCACCATGGCACGTGTATACCTATGTAACAAACCTGCACATTCTGCACATGTATCCCAGAACTTAAAGTATAATTTAAAAAAAAGAACAAAGCTGGAGGCATCACACTACCCAACTTCAAACTATACTACAAGGCTACAGTAACCAAAACAGCATGGTACTGGTACAAAAACAGACACATAGACCAATGGAATAGAATAAAGAACTCAGAAATAAGACTGCACACCTACAGCCATCTGATCTTTGACAAACCTGACAAAAACAAGCAATGGGGAAAGGATTCCCTGTTTAATAAATGGCACTGGGAGAACTGGCTAGCCATATGCAGAAAATTGAAACTGGACCCCTTCCTTACACCATATACAAAAATTAACTCAAGATGGATTAAAAAGATTTAAATGTACATCCTGAAACTATAAAAACCCTAGAAGAAAATCTAGGCAATACTATTCAGGACATATGCATGGGCAAAGATTTTATGATTAAAATGCCAAAAGCAATTGCAAGGAAAGCAAAAATTGATAAATGGGATCTGATTAAAAAGCTTCTGAACAGCAAGAGGAACTACCATCAGAGTGAACAGAAAACCTAGAGAATGGGAGAAAATTTTTGTAATCTAGCCATCTGACAAAGGCCTAACATCCAGAATCTACAATAAACTTAAACAAATTTACAAGAAAAAAAACAACCCCATTAAAAGTAGGCAAAGGGGCTGGGCACAGTGGCTTACACCTCTAATCCCAGCACTTTGGGAGGCAGAGGCAGGCAGATCACCTGAGGTCAGGAGTTCAAGACCAGCCTGGCCAACATAGTGACACCCTGTCTCTACTAAAAATACAAAAATTAGCCAGAGGTGCTGGCGCATGCCTGTAATATCAGCTACTCGGGAGACTGGGGCTGGAAAATCACTTGAACCCAGCAGGCACAGGTTTCAGTGAGCTGAGATCATGCCATTGCACTCCAGCCTGGGTAACAAGAGCAAAACTCCATCTCAAAAAAAAAAAAAAGTGGGCAAAGAACATAAACAGACATACATGTAGCCAACAAACATATGAAAAAAGCTCAACATCACTGATCATTAGAGAAATGAAAATCAAAACCACAATGAGATAGCTCATGCCAGTCAGAATGGCTATTACTAAAAAATCAAAAGATAACAGTTGCTGGCAAGGTTGTGGAGAAAAAGGAACACTTTTACACTGTTGGTGGGAGTGTAAATTAGTTCAATCATTGTAGAAGACAGTGTGATGATTCCTAGAGGCCTAGAAATACCTAGAAAGCCTAGAGGCTGAAATACCATTTGACCCAGCAACCCCATTACTGGGTATATACCTAAAGGAACATAATTCATTCTATTATAAAGATACATGCACAAGTATGTTCACTGCAGCACTATCCACAATAGCAAAGACATGGAATCACCCCAAATGCCTATCAGTGAGATAGACTGTATAAAGCAAATGCAGTATATATACACTATGGAATACTATGCAGCCATAAAAAGGAACAAAATCATCTCCTTTGCAGGGACATGGATGGAGTTGGAAGCCATTATCCTCAACAAACTAACACACATGGACACATGGGGGTGAACAACACACACTGTTGTTCAACAACACAGGCCCTGTCAAGGGGAGGGAGAGGATCAGGAAGAATAGCTACTGGATGCTGGGCTTAATACCTGGGTGATGGAGTGATCTGTTCAGCAAACCACCATGGCACACATTTACCTATTTAACAAACCTGCATATCCTGCACATGTACCCCTGAACTTAAAATAAAAGTTGAAAAAAAAATTTTTAAATTAAATAAAACATGGGAAGAGGTTGTTATTTATTTAATAAACACATAACTTCTACTGTATCTCAGGCTAAGTGCTCTAAAATATTAATTCATTTGATTTCATCATCACAACATAACTACTATCACTACCTATTTTGCCCAAAAGTGAGGCACAAAGAGTTTAATAGTTTGCCCAAAGTCCCAAAGACTTGAGCAGGATTTGAGGCCAGGCCACCTAAATGGAGATGTGTGCTCTCCCCACCTGGGCTGTCTCCCAGGGCCTTTCTCACTGGGAAGAACCAGAAAGAACTACATGGTTGGCCTTGGACACCTGGTGACATCAATACAGAATCTTCACCGAAAGACTGCTAAGGAATCATTAAAATGTCTGCCCACAAGCATTCTTAAGGCCATGAGAATGTGTTTCAATTAAATGAGTAAAAACGCAAGACACAAAAGCCATGTGTAAATATACCTCAGCTTTGCTTAACTGTTTAAAGAAAACAGAACTAAAAGAAATTATGCCAAGATGTTTACATTCGTTGCTTTGTGGGGATGGGAAAATTAGTGATTTTTTTCCTGCATCTTTACACTTGTTTTTTCTTCTATTGTGTATTTGTTATCTTTGAAATCAGAAATAATTATCCTTACTGTGTGCACAGGCCATATATACAGCTGTGGTAGAGGCATAGTCGTTGATCCATTTGGGCCCATCTCTGTATCCAGGAAGATTGTCTTAACTGGATTACCATATACTCCCCAGCACGTGCAAGTGACTGTGTTCTAACAGTTGTCTTCACTAAAGGGCCATCTTTGCTGCCTGGTTTCCACGCAGCCATCCTGAGGACTTTGCCTGCATGCTGGGCAGCGAGAGCCGGTCGGTGCCTTGGTGAGGAGAGCTACACATGTGCACACACACACAGGCTCGCAGAAGCCTAGGTCCAGCAGCCAGGCGACTGCATCCCTTGGTGCCCTTGGGAGCCTCAGCCAACCTGGCTCACTGGCCAGCTGCCTGGGACCCTGTTTGTTCCCAGTCCTGCCCCTGGAGATCTGTTGTGCCCACCTTAGCCCATGCAGTTGATCCTGGGCTGTGTCTCCTGTTCCCACAGCCTCCACAGGCCAGCACCACACACCTGGATGTCTGCCCTGCACCAGGAGCTCTCTGAAGCATGGGGGACAAGTTCCATGGGCCTCCCCAGACCACTGACCCAGCTATCCTCCATGTTCCCCTCTCCTGCTGTGGCCCCTAGGGCCCAGGGCTGTTCCCTGCCCAACCTCCCCTCCCCACTCACCACCTCCTTCAAAGGGTTCCAGGCTGAACCCCTCGGCTGGCTCCCATGGGGTCCCACCCAGACCAAGATCTTGTCCTACACATCCCATCCCAAGCTCTGTCACTCGGTAGACATGTATGGAGACACTCTAATAGGATGGACGTTGTGCTGGGGTTTGCAAAAAGCCTTTCAGTTTATAATCCAGAAACCCATGGTTTGAAGCCTCGTCCCCAAGGCTAAGGAATAACAGGCTGAGAATTATTGTGGATCTGATCAGAAGACGGGAGTGCAGACAAGTATAAGGTTCTAAGTGTGCAGCACTGGGGGCCAGGCACGGTCACTCACTTGATGTGATGTCAATCCCACAACCAGCTCTGGGGAGAGAACTCCAGGGTCTGCCGGTAAAGCTGTGATGCATAGAGGGAGCACAACTTGAACGTCACAGAAAGGTCAGGATTCAGATCCAGAGCTGCTTTCAAAGCCATGCTCCAAACCACGCCATGGCCTTTCCCTTATCCATGGTCCTGTCGACTTATCAATGAGAAACTACAGACTGAATTTCCTCCAGGGGAGAAAACCATTATCACTTTCCGACCTGCCACACACTCCAAATCAGATCGCAAACAACAGATAAGAACAAAAATGTATAGGTCGGCTGGGTGCAGTGGCTCACGCCTGTAATCCCAGCACTTTGGTAGGCCGAGGCGGACAGATCACGAGGTCAAGAGTTCGAGGCCAGCCTGGTCAACATGGTGAAAACCCATCTCTATTAAAGATACAAAAAATTAGGGGCCAGGCACGGTGGCTCATGCCTGTAATCACAGCACTTTGGGAGGCCGAGGCATGCGGATCACAAGGTCAGGAGTTTGAGACCAGCCTGACCAACGTGGTGAAACCCCATCTCTACTGAAAATACAAAAATTAGCCACGGGCTCTGTAATCCCAGCTACTCAGGAGGCTGAAGTAGGAGAATCTCTTGAACCCGGAAGGCAGAGGTTGCAGTGAGCCGAGATCGTACCATTGCACTCCAGCCTGTGCGACGGAATGAGACTCCATCTCAAAAAAAATAAATAAAATGTACAAGTCACTGAAGAGACTGAATGATTCCAGGTTAGCAAGACTTGATCGTAATCAGGTTCAAACTATCTACAAATTAACAATAGTTCATCCACTCCAAGGGGCTGGACAGTCTCACAGGCCCAAATGGTGGCAGGGTCTCCAGGTGAGGGGCGGGCAGCCAACTAAGCCTGCAGAGAGCCCACAGTTTTCTCTCTCCAAGGTGATCAATTGCTAGGCTTCCAGAGAGAAGCAAATCCTCCATGTGTCATGAAGTGGGCCCAAAAGGAAGGCGACAAGAGCTCAGCGACCACATAGCCTGGGAAATACTGCATATTATAGCCTTCTGTGGAGATTCCACCTGCAGGTAAGAAATGAAGGCTCTGTGAATTCCTGCCACAAAGAAACTTGGGGGACGGGGGTATTGTTTTGTTACTAATAGAAGTAATACAGCCAGCCTGGCCAACATGGTGAAACCCCATATCTACCAAAAATAAAAAATAAAAAATACAGGCCAGGCGTGGTGGCTCACGCCTGTAACCCCAGCACTTTGGGAGGCCAAGGCGGGTGGATCATGAGGTCAAGAGATCGAGACCATCCTGGCTAACATGGTGAAACCCCATCTCTGCAAAAAAATTAGCCAGGCATGGTGGTGGGCCCCTATAGTCCCAATTACTCGGGAGGCTGAGGCAGGAGAATGGCGTGAACCCAGGAGGTGGAGCTTGCAGTGAGCCGAGATTGCGCCACTGCACTCCAGCCTGGGTGACAGAGTGAGACTCTGTCTCAAAAAAAAAAAAAAAAAAAAAAAATTAGCCAGGCATTGTGGCCCACACCTGTACTCCCAGCTACTCAGGAGGCTGAGGCAGGAGGATTGCTTAAACCCGGGAGGTGGAGGCTGCAGTGAGCCAAGATCGCACCACTGCACTCCAGCCTGAACAACAGAGTGAGACTCTGTCTCAACAAAAA
The DNA here is from genome assembly GCF_000001405.40 of Homo sapiens. Taxonomy (NCBI): domain Eukaryota; kingdom Metazoa; phylum Chordata; class Mammalia; order Primates; family Hominidae; genus Homo; species Homo sapiens. The sequence goes on along the minus strand of NW_025791782.1, from coordinate 93,019 downwards.
AGAGTGTAAGTGGTTTTTATACATTGATTTTGTATCCTGCAACTTTGCTGAATTAATATATTAGTTCTAACAGTTCTTCAGTGTAGTCTTTAGGGTTTCTACATGTAAGATCCTGTCATGTGCAGAGATAATTTTACTTCTTTGTTTCCAATTTGAATATCTTTTATTTTTCTCTTGCCTAACTGCTCTGGCTTGGACTTCCAGTACTGTGTTGAATAAAAGTGGTGAGAGTAGGCATCTTTGCCTTGTCCCAGACATCAGAGGAAAGGCTCTTGGTTTTTCAGTGTTAAGTATGATGATAGCTGTGGACTATTCCTTTATGGCCTTTATTATATTGAGGTAATTTTCTCCTACTTCTACTTTGTTGACAGTTTTTATCAGGAAAGTATGTTGAATTTTGTGAAATGTGATTTTGTCTTTCTTTCCGTTAAAGTAGTATATCACATTAATTGATTTTTGTATGTTGAAACATCCTGGCATCCCCACGGATAAATCCAACTTGTTCATAGGGTATGATCCTTTAATGTGCTGTTGAATTGAGTTTGCTAGCATTTTGTTGAGAGCTTTTGCATCTAAGTTCACTAGAACCTATAGTTTTCTTATAGTGTCTTTGTCTGGCTTTAGTATCGGGATAATCTTCGTAAAAGAGTTTGGAAATATTTCCTCCTCTGCAATTTTTTGGAAGTTTAGGAAGGGTGGAGCTAATTATTCTTTAAATGTTTGGTAGAATTCACCCATGAAGGCCTCAGGTCCTGGGCTTTTCTTTTTGAGAGGTTTCCTACTAGTTATAGGTCCGTTCAGATTTCCTTTTTCTTCATGATTCAGTCTTGTAGGTTGTATGTTTCCAGAAATTTATCCATTTCTTCTAAGTTATCTAATTTGTTGGCATATAATTGTCATAGTAGTCTCTTCTAACCCTTGTTGTTTTGGTGGCATCAGTTGTAACGATTCCTCTTTAATTTCTGATTTTATTTATTTGAGTTTTCTCTCTTTTTTTTCTTGGTCTACCAAGAGGTTTGTTAAGTTTGTTTACCTCTTTTAAAAACCAAGTCTTAGTTTTGCTAATCTTTTCTATTGCTTTTCTAGTCTCTATTTCATTATTTCTGTTCCAGTGTTTATTATTTCCTTCCTTCTGCTAGCTTCAGGCTTATTTTTTTCTTCTTTTTTTTTTAGTTTCTTGAGGTATAAAGTAAGATGTTTGTTTGAGATTTCTTGTTATTTAAAGCAGCCATTTACTGCTATGAAGTTCCCCGTTAGTGCTACTTTTGCTACATGCTGTGTGATTTGGTATGTTGTGTTTTTGTTATTTGTCTCAGGATATTTTCTAATTTCCTTTGCAATTTCTTCTTTGACCCATTGGTTTTTCAGGAATGTATTGCTTAATTTACACATATCTGTGAATGTTCTAGTTTTCTTTCTGCTATTAATTTCTAATTCCATTCCATTGTGGTTAGGAAAGATATTTGGTATTATTTCAGTCTTCTTAACTTTATTAAGATGTGTTTTGTGAACTCACATGAGATTTATATGGAGAATATTTGATGTGCATTTGAGAAGAATGTGTATTCTGCTGCTGTTGAATGGAATGTCCTATATAAACATATGTGTTAGACTCATTTCATCTAAAGTGTTGTTCATGTCCACTGTTTCCTTATTAATTATCAGTCTGGATGTTCCATCCCTTACTGAAAGTAGTACTGAAGTCTCCTACTATTATTGTAGTGCTGTCAATTTCTCTGTTCAGTCCTGTCAATGTTCACTTTATATATTTAGGTGCTGTGACATTGAGTGCATATATATTTATAATTTTTAAATCTTCCTGTTGAATTGACCCTTTTAACATATACTATGACCTTCTTTGTCTCTTGTGAGTGTTTTGACTAAAGTCTATTTTGTCTGATATACGTATAGCCACCCCTGCTCCCTTTTAGTTACCATTGTGTAAAACATCTTTTTCCATCTCTTCACTTTCAGTCTATGTGTGTCCTTAAGGCAAAAGTGAGTCTCTTGTAGACAGAATATAGTTGAATCTTTTTTAAAACTCTGTTCAGCCACTCTATGTCTTTCTATTGGGGAGTTTAATCTATTTACCTTTTTTTTTTTTAATGTTTTGAGATGGAGTCTGTCACCCAGGCTAGAGTGCAGTAGTGTGATCTTGGCTCACTGCAACCTCTGCCTCCGGGTTCAAGGGATCCTCCTGCCTCAGACTTCCAAGTAGTTGGGATTACAGTCATGCACCACCATGCCCAGCTAATTGTTTTGTGTTTTTAGTGGAGACAGGGTTTCACCATGTTGACCAGGCTGGTCTCCAGTGGCACAATCTCAGCTCACTGCAACCTCCGCTTCCCAGGTTCAAGTGATTCTCCTACCTCAGCCTCCCAAGTAGCTGGGATTACAGGCGTGTGCCATGATGCCTGGCTAATTTTGGTATTTTTAGTAAAGACAAGGTTTTGCCATGTTGGCTAGGCTGACCTCAAGTAATCCACCTGCCTCGGCCTCCCAAATTGCTGGGATTACAGGCATGATCCACCATGCCCAGCCTTATTTACTCTTAATTATTGATAGGGAAAGTCTTATCATTGCCAATTTTTGTATGGTTTTCTGTCTGTCTTGTAGTTCTTTTGTCCCTCTTTCCTTTCTGCTATCTTTCTTTGTGTTTCATTAATTTATTGTAGTTTTATTCTTTTCTGTTTTCTTTTGTATATCTTCTACAGGCATTTTCTTTGTGGTTTAATAAAACATCTTACAGTTACAATAATCTATTTTAAGCTGATACAACTTACCTTCAATCACATACAAAAATCCTATAATTTTACTTCACACATGCATATACACACAAACACACACACTTTATGTTATTGATGTCACATTAAAATATTTTATAGTTTAGTTACTTTTAATAATCTTGTCTTTTACCTTTTATACTCAAATTTTAAATGATTTACAGGATAATTTTCAATGACCTTTCTCCAAGTTCACCAGTCCTTTCTTCTGATTGATCTAGTCTGCTATCAAACCCCTCTAGTGAATTCTTCAGTTATCGTTGTATTCTCAGCTCCAAGGTTTCTGTTTGGTACTTTTTAATATGTTCTATCACTTTGTTGAAATTCTCACTTTATTCATACATTTTTCTCCTGACCTCATTGAGCATCTTTATGATGGCTAATTGAATTCTCTGTCAAATAAATCATGTATCACCATTTCATTTGGTCAGCTTCTGGAGATGTATCTTGTTCCTTTGTTTGGGACATATTTCCTGTCTCTTCATTTTCCTAACTCCTTGTGTTTCTGTTTGGGAGGTTTTCGATTACTGACTCAATCTCCCTACTAGTTATAGGTCTGTTTCTGTAATAGAGAAAACAACCATCTGTGCATTACTGAAAACAACCATCTCTCCCAGACTTTGCAGATAGCCTCATACAAGAGAAGATCCTCGCCAATCAGCCTGCCCAGAGATTTCGGTGGCCTCTCAAACCTTCGTGCTAGTCTGAACTTCATCTTTGTTCTCACTGGCACCCAGGCTTCTAGAGCATGCTGGGTCCTAGCAACACTCCAAGGCCAACCAGGCAGAAGCCAATCCCTTGGGCAGCCCCCAGAAAAGTTGGAACATTGGACACATGATCCAACTCCCCTTTTTTCAGGAAGAAGCTGGTTTCTGGGGTTTGGGGGGTTTTCTTCACTCTGTACTGAGGAGAGAGGCTATGGCAACAGCTTGTATACTAGTTCAAATCTCAAATCACCATCTATGTTCTCACCAGCTGCCAGTCATCTAGAGCATGCTGGCTCCCATCAGTGCCTTGAGACAAGCAAGACAGAAACCAGTCCCTTGGGCAGCCCCCAGAGAAGGTGTAATACTTGATGTACAGTCCAAATCTTTCCCTTCCCAGGGAGAGGCTGAGAGCTGGGGATTTTCATTTAAATATATGGTGCTGGGCCAGGGGTTGAGATTTGGTTGAAAGGATGTTTCAAATTTTCCTACTGACTTAGATGTGGCTGGTTTCATGCTTGCCCGAGGTGCAGAAACTTCTGAAAAGTTACTGGATTTCTCACAAGGGAAATTTGTCTGTGTATTGTTGAACTGATGTGTTTGTAGGGGACAGGCAAGTCCAGGGCTTCCTCCTCCACCATCTTGTTGATGCCACCCCTTTGTCAGAAAATCTAACATCTCTAGCGTCTTTGTTTTGCCATGTATTGATGATCTTCATTTATTTGAGAACATCTGGTTCTTGGTATGATCAATGATTTTTTTACTGAAGCCTGAACCATTTTTATATTATAAGATTCTGAATATTATATAAACCTCTATTTTAGCTAGATGTCTCTGAAACCACTCCAGCAGAGGAAGGGAAGTAAAAAGCTACCTCATTAACGTCAGGTAGAGTTAGAAATCCACATCCGTACTCGGCCACTATTAACATCCAGGGTGGGAAGGGGCTCCTCATTACTGCTGGAGGGGGTGGGAGTCCCAACTCATTGTCTCCAATGACACCACAAGGGGATGGACTTATTGCCACTGGGTGACAGTAAAAGTCCTGACTCTTCATTAGGCCCCTTTGTCAAGACCCTGCTGGGAAAGGAACAGGCACCTAGTTACTGCCAGGTGGAGGTGGAAGTCCAGGATCTCTACGTGGTCTCCATGGACACCACAGTGTGGGAGGAGCACCTTACCAGCTGGGAGGAATAATAGACCTCGCCCACGACGTGGCCTTCTCTGACGTCACCCAGACAGCACTGGTAGAGGGCCTCCTTAGAGCCTCATGAGGGTGGAAGTCCAGGCTCCCTACTCAGCCTTTGCTGGCATGCATGGAGACGGGTCATAGCTTTTCGGCGGTGTTTGCCTAGAGTAGAACAGTTACCGTCTGAAAGTTTTCTGCCTTGCTGAGCTGCCCCTTCCCTGGTACCTTGGTTGGAGAGAGCAGGCTTTGCGGGGACTTTGTCTGTGCTCATTGCTGTTTCCAGGTTGCTGCGTTCTTCAGCTCCAAGTCTGGAATAGATGAGACAGAAAGAAAACCCAGGACACTCGCCAGCCCGTTGTTCCTTTGGTTCCAAGGTCCCCTCCAGTCTTTCTTTGCTCCACCTTTTGGAGCCTTCTTATGTTTGTTACATATGCAATGTCCTAGATTTTTAGTTGCAATTAGCAAGAGGAAGCAGGGAAAGTACATCTACTCCATCTTCCTGGAAACAGAAGTCCGTGGGAAGCATTTTTTTAAATATCTCTGCCTAGACCCCACTTCTAAAGACTGATTTAATTGGTCTGGAGTGGTGCCTGGACATCAGGAATTTAAAAAAATTAAAACTCCTGGGTGACTCCACTGTGCACCCAGGGCTGAGAACCTGCCATAGTTATCCTTGTCTCTTGTAGTTATTGTCTGTTGGCCAATTCATAACTCCCAATCAAACTTTTAACTTATACTTTTTCTCTGACCTCCGTAACCATTTATGCAACTGCCTGATTTTGACAACTCTTCTTTGAGAAATTACAACTATCAGACAGTTGAAGCTTAAAGGTACCTCAAACTTCAACATATTCAAAAAAATCATTATCTGCACTCCCCCGAAAACACCTCCAGCTTTCCCCACCAGAGAATGGCACCATCAGCCACCTCGTTATACAATGGAGACATCAGAGAGTCACTCTTGATGAGTTTCTCCCTTTTCCAATCTTCTCCTAATTCATTCAGAGAAACTCTCGCAAAAGTCGTGTCTGATCCATCAACTCCTTGTCCAGCAACATGCTGAGCAACACTGGAGCCTGAGGCCAAAGGAAAAATGGGTGCCTTACATGCATGTTTTTCAGTTTGCATTTTGGTTTTTTTGAGGCAGGTTCTCAGTCTGTCACCCAGGCTTGAATGCAGTGGCATGATCATGGCTCATTGCAGCCTCAATCACCTGGGCTCAAGCAATCGTCCCACCTCAGTCTCCCAAGTAGCTGAGACTATAGGCATGCCCCACCACACCCAGCTAATAAATTTTTTAATGGTCAACTTTTTGGCAGAAAATTAAAGTGGTGAAAGAAATAAAAATTTTAACACCAGTTATTAAAACTCACAACAGTACGTTTAAATTTAAATTTTTTATTACACAAAACCAGAAGTGAATTTTACGTTTCTAGCTTTAATGGATGCTAACTCATTAATAATGTCTTCAAAATCTACATCTTCTACTTTAGTATTCTGCAGAAAGGTAACTATCAAAAAGGTATGCAGTAGCCCCCTTATCCATGAGGATACATTCCAAGACCCCCAGTGGATACCTGAAAACATGGATAGTACCAACTTCTGTATATTCTGCTTTTATCCATACATACATACCTATGATAAAGTTTAATGTATAAATTAGGCATGGTAACTGATAATGAAATAGAACAACTCAAACAAGCTGGGCGCAGTGGCTCATGTCTGTAATCCTAACACTTTGGGAGGCTGAGGCGGGCGGATCATCTGAGGTCAGGAGTTCGAGACCAACTTGGCCAACATGGTGAAACCCCATCTCTACTAAAAATACAAAAATTAGCTGGGCATGTTGGTACATGCCTGTAGTCCCAGCTACATGGGAGGCTGAGGCAGGAGAATCGCTTGAACCCAGGAGGCAGAGGTTGCAGTAAGCCGAGATCATGCCACTGCACTCCAGCCTGGACAACACAGCAAGATTCCATCTCAAGAAAAAAAAAAAGAAAGAGAACACTAACAATATACTGTAATAAAAGTAAAGTGAATGTGTTCTCTCTCTAATTATCTTCTTGTAGTGTGTTCCTCTCTTTTCTTGTGATGATAAAATGCCTACATGGTGAGATGAAGCTAGGGGAATGGTGTGGGTATTAGGACCTAGCATTAGGCTACCTCTGACCTTCTGGCCATCCTTGAGGAGACTCACCTGCTCCAGGCGATCCTGGGTCATCAAGCCATAATGATTGGCTGTCAAGGAGCAGATGAGCTCAATGACTAATGAGTAGATAGCGTGTACAGCGGTGCATACTCTGGGTAAAGAGATGATTCACATCCCAACACAGGACAGTCTGAGATTTCATCATGCTACTCAGAATGACATGCAAATTAAAACATGTAAGTTGCTTATTTCTGGAATTTTCCATTTAATATTTTCAGACTGTGGTTGACTGCAGGTAACTGAAACAGCAGAAGGCAAAAAGCCACAGATAAGGGGGAACGTACTTGGGGCTACATCTTCCCTTTTGCCACAGGCCTGTCACGGTACTGTGGGATCCTCTCTTTGCCTAGAAGTTTGATATTTTGTTCATCCTGGATTTTTTGGCACTAATACTGATTTTTTTAATATTGTATTGCTTATCTTGATTATTGAGTTTTGAGGGGGATCCTTAAATTTGTGCCTCAGGCAAGTCTGTCACTCACCCCACCATAATCCCAGCCCTGACCAGTTCATTGGCTTCCCATGGTTCTTAACCACACAAATGAGGGTCCACTGCGGGAACTGGTCCCACCTGTCTGTCACTCACCCAGGATACTGCCATCCCTGTCGTCTGTGTGCCTGTCACATTGGCCTCCACTCCCCTCTTCAGTGGCCCTCCCGGTCCCCTGCCTCTGCACCTGTTCCTCTCTCCCTGCAGCAGGCTCTCTCCCCGCCGCTCCTCCCCCTCACTTCCCCGGACACATCCATCTCTTTCACTGAGGGATACTACAGAATAGTTTTCTAAATAGTTCTCTCTTGGTTTCTAATTGTATATTTATTTTATTAGATTACTTGATGAATGCCTGCAGAGCCCATGAGGGTGCAGCTGCCCTAGTGCTAGACCATGTGACTGCAGGGCTCACCACAGAATTCCCCGTGCCCAGCACAAAGCCTGGCGCAAGGTGGGGATTCCATGACTATCTACAGAATGAGCAGACAGATGAGGGAATCTGCACATCTAGGTTCTAGCACAGGAGATAAATCAGCTTCACCGTGTTTCCCAGAGTGTCCTCCTCTCAGCACTAGTTTGGTGGAATAATAACAGATGTAATGTGGACTTTGTCTTGTGGACAAATAACTAAGAGAGGCCCTGGGTTCAACAAAGTTCTACATGACTTTTTAACCTCTGATATACCAATATGCATCGTGAATTTCTAAACAGAAATCTTGTAGCTCTATCTCCCAAACTGATTTGACCACAATACCATTTATTTTCATGGAATAACTTAGGGAACTAGTTTCATAACTGAGTCTGGTGGAAAAAGACAAATTGATGAGCAGAAAGTGTATGTAGCCTGGGAGAAACCAGACCTCTCCACAGGATTCACAGCCCAGGAATGGTGTGGTCAGGCATTCGTGGTAGAGGAGGAAATGCAACCCTCACCCTTTGGGTTTAATTTTACCTTTGTGGGGTTACGCACCAACTATTTCCTGTCTTTAGAGATATTAAACACCAAAATATGTGAGGCACTAAAATGGGGCTCAGGAGACTGTGATCCTCTTTTTTAGCTCCGTGACCTTGAGCAAGTCATATGGCCATGGCCACCGACAACACGAGAGCAACACCACCTACCCTGCCTATCTGGCTGTACAGAGTAAGGATCCAAAGAAATAATGAATATAATAACAACAATGGCTAGCGTTAATGATTTCCTTATTCTGTGCTAGTCGACACTTCTAGGAACTTTCCAAGTGTTATCTCATCCCATCCCTTGAAATAGACACTATTTTTACCCTTGTACAAATGACCTAATGGAGCTTCGGGAGTTCAGTAACTTTCCCAACACCACACAGCGAGGAAGCGGCCGAGTCAGGACTCAAGCTCAGAAAATCTGATTCTGGAGTCTGTGTTCTTAACTTCCACGCTCAATATGAGAGTTCTTGGCAATCCCCAAAGTGTGCAGTGAGGATATTACTCATCACCACTTCTGAACTTCGTTTTCCCACATGGTCTTAGCACACCAGGAAGATGGCATTGTGTGGAGCCAGCATCAGGTGCCTGGCGCCAGCCTGTCTTGCACCAATAGCTTGTGCCCCTGTGGAAGGCACTCAAAAATAACCACTCCACTCACTGAGCATCGGCCACCATCAGGCCCTATACTATGACTGTACTGGTTTATTAAGCAACGTGGTCAGTGGTTTACTCCCTAATCTGCCTTCCCCCACGAACAACGAAGGGAAAGGGACAGTGACTTTCCTCCTTTGTTCCCAGCCCAAGCTTCAGAAAATTGCACAGAGCAACCCTGGAGAAGGTTTCCACAAGGACAGTGTCCCCACAACATCAGAACCTGGGCACACTGGCCACTACCTCCTGCTTGCACACAGACACTCACCATGAAATCTCTCATTTCCACACTAATATTATTTTGAAGTTGAAAAAGGTAACCATGCAAAACTTCTTTTTTTTGAGACAGGGTCTCACTCTGTCACCCAGGGTAGAATGCAGTGGTGCAAACACAGCTCACTGCAGCCTCCACCTACTGGACTTAGGTGATCCTCCAACCTCAGCCCCGAGTAGCTGGGATTACAGGTGTGTACCACCATGCCCAACTATTTCTTTTTTTTGTATTCTTTGTAGAGATGGGGTTTCACCATGTTGCCCGGGCTATGAAAAACTTTTTTTGTTGTTTGTTTGTTTTTTATATTCTCCAATTTAAAACTTTTAATTAAAAAGTAAACTTAATGTCAAAAATGCAAACTTGGGGAAGACAGAAAAGATCACACACAAGGCTGGCCGGGCAGAGGCGCTCCTCACTTCCCAGACGGGGCGGCGGCCGGGCAGAGGCGCGCCTCACTTGCCAGATGGTGGGGTGGCTGGGCAGAGGGGCTTCTCATTTCCCAGACAGTGGCCGGCCAGGCAGAGGTGCTCCTCACTTCCCAGACGGTGGGCAGCCAGGCAGAGGTGCTCCTCACTTCCCAGATGGTGGGCAGCTGGGCAGAGGCACTCCTCACTTCCCAGACGGGGTGGCCAGGCAGAGGTGCTCCTTACTTGCCAGATGGAATGGCCGGGCATAGGTGCTCCTCACTTGCTAGACGGGGTGGTGGCTGGGCAGAGGCGCTCCTCATTTCCCAGACGGGGTGGTCAGGCATAGGCACTCCTCACTTGCCAGACGGGGTGACCAGGCATAGGCGCTCCTCACTTGCCAGACAGGGTGGCCGGGCAGAGGCGCTCCTCACTTCCCAGATGGTTGGCGGCCAGTCAGAGGCGCTCCTCACTTCCCAGACAGTGGGCAGCTGTATGAAAAATTTTAATTAAAACATTTCCGTTTACTCTTTTATGAGGATGTAACCAAAAGATTTGAATTGCAGCAGGTGAAATGGGAAAGGGTCAGGAGAGATGGTCTGTTCCTGAGCTCTGCCACTGAAAGCTGTGTGCTGTTGGGCAAATCTCCTAAGCTTATCTAGGCTTTGCTGTGTTCAGCTTTCAAATAAAAGGACTGTATAGATGATGACGCATGCACTTACTGTGGCCACCTGCTACTTGTTAGGCCTTGCTCAGCATACAATCCCATTATTTCCTCGCTATAGCCACATTTCGCAGACAGCAGAACAGAGACTGCGGAGACTCGGAGGCTAAATGTCCTTATCCTCTGGTAGTGGTAGGACAGTACTCAGGAAGGCAGCCCCAGGGGCTGCTCTTTTCTAAACATCCCTAAACTTCCATTTGAAAATTGCTGCATTACTGATATCCCCGAGGAGTATGAAGCTGGAGTATGAAGATGCTCCCAAGGCAGTGTCTTAGGTCGGCACACACCGCCTGAACTGCCCCATCTCTGTCAGTCAGCCTCCATGTCAGTCGGCCTCCATCACTTCCGTCCCTCTACTCCACAACTCTGTCTAAAAGCAACGTGCAGCTCTGACATTCTAGGGTTCCTATAGCCCCTGAGTAATCCTTTCCAATCCTTCACCACGCCCCTTCCCTGTCTATCTCCAAACCCTGGGATGCGGCAGAAGAGATACAACACTGGGGTGTTGCAATCTCTAGTTCCCGGAAATAGCACCTCTAAAACCAGCCTGAGCCAAGCTTGCCCAGGCGCCACCCAACAGGAGGAAAGCCTCCCCCACTGGCACAAAAGGCAGCATAACCCCAGGGCGGGTGGTGCAAAGGAGTCTACAGAACAGTTCTCTTATATCTGGATTACAATCAGCAATGAAAAGTGAAGGTACTGAGCCCGGTAGCCGGCTTTTGGGCAAGCAAGGGCAAGTGTCTGAATGGGACCCTCCAAGCCTGCACACTGGCAATCCCGTGCCAACCCCAGTGCAAGGAAACAGAAGCCATGGCCAGGGAAATGAGTGTCTTGGCAGCCCCTACTGCTGGTTTCTCAGAATTGCTCCGTCTTTTTCCAAATGAACCTCAGGAGAACCACAATTTTAAAACTTACTTCATCTGGGACAGTCGAAATTATTTTGGCAGTTCTCTGGAAGGGGGAAAAAGACAACTAATCCCTTTTCTACTCCCTCCCCATGACAAAAAGAAAAGTTACAACATAAGGCATATTGGAGCCAGTTCCCAGTCACAGAAATACATTTGAAGATCTACAATGTTGCACAATGTGCAAATTTGGAGAAGTAATTTTGAGGCTAAGTAAATGTCTGGAGACTTTATTAAAATGTCCCTTTGTCTTTGCTGGCCAAACTGGCACCTCAGGATCACAGAAGGAGCTTTTGTTTCCTCCATGACATCAAGAAGCTCTGGGTGCAAAGGGCAGTCTTCAGAGAATCCTGGAAGCAGAGTTGCTCCTGCTTCAGGGAGGATGTGCCCTTGCCACCTGCAGGGTTAGAGGGCTTTGGGATGTGCCCTTATTAGCCTTGTTTGGTTTTGTGGGGGCGGGGTTTTGGTTTCTGGGTTGTTGTTTTTTTTTGTTTGTTTGTTTTTTGTTTTTGAGACAGAGTTTCACTCTTGTTGCCCAGGCTGGAGTGCAATGGCGTGATCTCGGCTCACTGCAACCTCCGCCTCCTGGGTTCAAGTGATTCTCCTGTCTCAGCCTCCTGAGTAGCTGGGATTACAGGCGCCCGCCACTACGCCTGGCTAATTTTTGGTATTTTTAGTAGAGACGGGGTTTCACCATGTTGGCCAGGCTGGTCTGGAACTCCTGACCCCAGGTGATCCACCCACCTCGGCCTCCCGAAGTATTAGCCTTGTTTAAATATATACATGAGGCATAACTAATTTACATGCTACTGCTCTGACAGGTCTCTCCATAGTTTACCCAGAGCACAAATCTCGAAGCTGCATGAGAGCATTACACATTGGCAGTTTTGATGCCACAACCTGTGCTGATGCTTCACACCGAGAAGGACAGATCAAAGAAGAAACATGCCGGCCGGGTGCGGTGGCTCACGCCTGTAATCCCAGCACTTTGGGAGGACGAGGTGGGTGGATCACGAGGTCAGGAGATCGAGACCTTCCTGGTTAACACGGTGAAACCCCGTCTCTACTAAAAATATAAAAAATTAGCCGGGCGTGGTGGCGGGCGCCTGTAGTCCCAGCTACTCGGGAGGCTGAGGCAGGAGAATGGCGTGAACCAGGGAGGCAGAGCTTGCAGTGAGCCGAGATCGTGCCTCTGCACTCCAGCCTGGGCGACAGAGTGAGACTCCGTCTCAAATAAAAAAAAAAAAGAAAGAAAGAAACATGCCAAGGACATCAATTAAAGTGTTGGTAGGGACTTTCCACGAAAATAATTCAGAAAGATGATGAAGGACCCAAAACATACTAGCAAAAGGATTTACAGAAACCAAGTGTGAATGTGCTCGCTGAGTCCCAGAATTTCTGATTCCTGGGAAGTAGGACCCATGAACATTAAGGGGTCATTTTAGCACAAGTGAAAGGAGCAGTGGGTGAGAACGCATGACCGGAGGTCCCGGCCTTATGCGACTGACTGTCCCTCCTGGCTCCCCGCATCTGAGTGGGTTCAGGCCCGTATTAATGGAGCTGTACAGTACCCGCCCTCCAGGAGCTTGGGAGGTCTGCACCAATCCTACAAACATTTGGGGCGCCTTCTAATCACCGGGAGCTGCACCAATAGCGGTGGGGGCTGCCAAGCAAGACGCACAGGGCACCCAGATCACACACAGGACCCTTCAGCCAGGCAGAAGGAAGCACAGGAAAGTTCCAGAAAGGCTTCAGGGAGGTACAGCTCGAGTGGAATTTTAAAGGACGATTAGAAAATGGGGTTGAGCGCAGTGGCTCATGCCTGTAATCCTAGCACTTTGGGAGGCTGAGGCGGGCGGATCACCTGAGGTGAGGAGCTCCAGACCAGCCTGGCCAACATGGCGAAACCCCGTCCCTACTAAAAATACAAAAAAAATTAGCCAGGTGTGGTGGCGTGCTAGCCCCAGCTACTCGGGAGGTCGAAGCAGGAGAATCGCTTGAACCCGGGAGGCAGAGGTTGCAGTGAGCCGAGCTCGCACCACTGCACTCCAGCCAGGGTGACAGAGTGAGACTCCCTCTCAAAAAATAAAGGAAGAAAGAGGGCCGGGCGCGGTGGCTCACGCCTGTAATCCCAGCAACTTGGGAGGCCAAGGTGGACGGATCACGAGGTCAGGGGATGGAGACCATCCTGGCTAACACGGTGAAACCCCATCACTACTAAAAATACAAAAAAAAAATTAGCCAGGCATGCGCCTGTAGTCCCAGCTACTCGGGAGGCTGAGGCAGAAGAATTACTTGAACCTGGGAGGCAGAGGTTGCAGTGAGCCGAGATCACACCATTGCACTCCAGCCTAAGTGACAGAGCGAGACTCCATCTCAAAAAAAAAAAAAAAGAAAGAAAAGAAAAAGGAAGAAAGAAAGAAAACAGCCCAGTGGATGGGCAGGGGAAGTGGAAATGTCACTGGTTGGAATATTTCTCCTGAGGCAGAGAAAACAGCACCTAGACGCCTCCATAGCCCACCCCGGCCCTGTGGCCTTGGTGAGAGACCTTGCTCATTTTCTGCCCACTCTCCCACGGGCCCTCCTCTCCTTACCCTCCAACTACCCTACCTTCCCCACCCTCCATCCACCCACCCTCCTGCGGGCCCTCCCCTCCGCTCTTCACCCTGCAGCTTCCCTCCTGTGGACCCTCACCTCCCAAGCCTCTCCACAGCTTTGCAAGACACTCCCTGCACCCACGATCTCACTCCACTCCATGCACAGTGGTGCTGCTTCCTTGATTGAACCCCAACAAATTGTAGCTAATCCCTCACCTCCCACTTTCTCCTCATTGCACTCCAACCTCCCACTTTCTCCTCATTACACTCCAGTAAGAATTCTGTCTTCATCTCTTCATGAAAAAGCTTTTTCAGGCCACCCATAGCCTCCAAATTCCTAACTCAGTGACCTATCATTTGCTTTCTGGGCACTTGCTCTCTCAGCAGCATTTGAAACCACCAATGACTGCACCTTTCCTGGGAGACTGGGTTTTCCTCACTCACCTGACTGCTTCTCTTGCTTCTCTTGCGTGTATTTGCTGGCCCCTCTTCCTTTTCCTGGCCTTCAGATTCTTGTGTCCCAGGGCTTGGTTGTTCTTTGTTTCTTTTTTTGAGACAGGGTCTGGCTCTTCCACCCAGGCTGGAGTGCAGTGGTGAGTGCAATGGCCTGATCACCGCCTGCTGCAGCCTCAACCTCCTGGGCTCAAGTGATCCTCCTTCTTCAGCCTCCTGAATTGCTGGGACCACAGGCACACAGCATTGGGCCCGGCTAATTTTTGTTTCTGTTTTTTGTTATTGTTTGTTTGTTTGTTTGTTTGTTTAGAGGCAGGGTGTATTAGGCTGCTCTTGCATTGCTATAAAGAAATACCTGAGACTGAGTACTTCAAAAGAAAACCTGGCTCACGGTTCTGCAGGCTGTACAGGAGGCATAGCAGGGGATCTGCTTCTGGGGAGGCCTGGGGAAGCTTCCAATAGCTGGCGGAAGGCGAAGGGGGAGCAGGCGTCCCACATGGCGGGAGCAGGAGCAAGCGGGGGAGGTGTCACACTTTACAACAACCAGATCTGGGCAAAATCCCTCACCATCTGGAGCACAGCACCGAGCTCCGAGGGATTCTCCTGCCCTCCACCCCAACCCCATGACCAGAACGCCTCCCACCAGGCCCCACCTCCAACACTGGGGGTTACAATTCCACAGGAGATTCAGCAGCCTGGAGCTGAGTTACATGTTCAAACTTTCAGAGGCTTCCCATGGCCCATCTCCGCTTCCAGCACATTCGCCCTCCTACACATGCCGCCTCGCTGTGCACAGCAAGCCCTGCGGGAAAGGCCGCCGGGCCTAAGAAGGGCTTTCCTCGCGAGAAGGCCCAGGCAGAGAAGTCCCCCTTTTATCCCCGATGTGGCCGTGGGAGAATTTGACCGTGGGGGCTCTGTCGTTCACCTAGCTTCTGGTCCCATAACTAAGCAATAGCGGAAGAGTAAAGCAAAGCCAGAGACGGATAGTCCTGGGGCCTTGGCGACATGGTGGTGTCTCAGACAAACAAACCCTGCTCACCTATTTCTAGAATGTCGGCAATAGATCACCAGTTTCCCTACAGTTTAAGTCAACCTGAGTTGGGGTTTATTTTACCCGCATCCAAAAGCATCATGAGGTTGCGCTTCCTTCTCCCACGCCGCATGGCTGGCCTCCTTTCTGTCTGGAGCACGCGCCAAGCCTGCTCCTGCCACAGGGCCTTCGCACTGCTTGTTCCTGCGTGGAGTGCACTGTCCAGAATCTTAGCCAAACTGCTCTTAGTTCAAGCATCACCTGGTCACAGGGACCTCCCTGACCTCCTAGCTAGAGGACCACACTCCCACACCGCTTTTATGCCACACTTTCTGTCTTATTGCCGTCTTTACGCCACAGCATCTATCATTACATTACAAGGTCCTATTTATCTGCATGCTTTTTTTTTTTCTTGAGATGGAATCTCACTCTGTCGCCCAGGATGTAGTGCAATGGCATGATCTTGGCTCACTGCAACCTCCGCCTCCTGGGTTCAAGCGATTCTTCTGCTTCAGCCTCCCGAGTAGCTGGGTTTACAGGCCAGAGCCACCACAGCCAGCTACTTTTTGTATTTTTGGTAGAGACAGGGTTTCACCATGTTGGCCAGGCTGGTCTCAAACTCCTGACCTCAGGTAATCCGCCCGCCTCGGCTTCCTAAAGTGCTGGGATTATAGGCATGAGCCACTGCACCTGGCCTGCACATTTATTTTCTGCCTCCCCTGCTAGAATGTATGCCCGCACGAGGGCAGGGACAAGGGGGCATGTAGATTACAACCTGGTACTTAGTAAGTGTTCAGTAAATATCCTTTAAATAAAATGTGGCAAGAGAACACAGCACATTAGAAGGACTGCAAGTATTTCTGTGTGCAAGGCTAGCAGAGAAGGCAGGAGGGAATGAGAGGTAAATGCCAGATCCTTAAGAACCTTACATTGTATCCTAAGATTAATGGACAGCCACAGATGAACTGTGAGAAGGAGCACTATACACTGCAGCACAGCAGACAGGAGGGGAGAGACCATTCAGAAAACTGTTCCACTCATCTAGGCCAAGAAATGTGACTCAAACCAAAGACAGTGGCTTTGGGATGGAGAATACAGAATGGATTGGGTTCATGAGGCATTAGTAAAGGATTGGCGGCTTGGCCTCCCACTGAGGGCAGTGAGCTAATGAAAGGGAAGCATCAAGAACAACATCCAGGCTTCTGTTTGGACAGTGTGGTGCCAGTCATGGAGCCAGGGCCTGGCGAGGCAGCTGATTCGCATTTGGAGGAAATTAGTCTGACTCTGAATATGTTGATTTTGAGACACTCAGGACATTCCCAGGTAGAGATGCATAGTTACCATCAGAGACACAGGTCTGGAGCATAGAGGAAGGGTCTGTCCTAGAAACAGGGCCTGGAGATTGCAGTTCAGCCTTGAGAGTGTGGGGGTCATGCAGGAAGACCACAGAGAACCTAGAAAAGGAAGAGAAGACACCTGGAGACAAACCCTAAAGAGCACTAACATCTGAGAAGCATGGAGAGAGAAACTGCTAAGAGACTGAGAAAAAGTAGCCCAGATGAAGAAAACACCAGAAGTGCATGATTTTATGAAAGTTAAGAGAATATTGCAAAGAGGAGTGGTCAAGTGATATGAGAACTAAAACATGCTCATTTGACTTGGTAGCCAAGAAGTTTTTGGTAATCTGAGCAAAACCATTTTGGGGACGGTGGGCGCAAAAGCCAGATTGTTGTTGTTTGTGGAGTGAAGAGATGAGTGAGTAGGTATGACTCAGGGAGACCGCATCCTTCCTGGGTGTTCAGCTGTAGCCAGCATTCCCCATCCTTCCAGCTCCGAGGCTTCTTTCCAAAACACCAGGAAGGGAAATAACATTTGCTCTAAAATCGCTGGCACCATGACCATCTTTACTGTATAAATGACAGTGAAGTCACCTACTTTTGGAAGGGCACAACTTCCTTAAAACTGTCACAAAATTAAAATGCAAACAATACAGAAACGCATGATGTACAAGTCCTCTTCCCTCTCTCCCAAATCCTGTCCCTTCCCTCTGGGTAACTGCTGAGGACACTTGGCTGCATGCCCTTCCAGAACTTTTTCTATGTGTTTACATAGATTTCATTCAACAAGCACATTTTGAGTGCCTGTTGTCTGCTAGATCCCTTGTGCATAGAGATTTTTTTCTTGCTGCTTTTGAGATAAACAAGAATTTCACCAAATATATATTGGAGAATAAGTGTATGTATCTATATATCTAACTCGTGTTTTGTAATACCCCATAATATTTCACAAGATCTATATATGTACCAAAAATGTTTACTATTCCCCCCTTAATGGGCACGAAGGTTGCATCCAATTTTCACTATGTAATAATGCAAGATATATGTTATTGTTTATTCATTTTGTGTTTATAGGCAAGTATTCATATAAGACATATTCCAAAAATAGAAATACTGGGTCAAAAATGTGCATTTTTAACTTTTCCAGATCCTGCCAAATTTTGATGGCCATTGCTAAAATGGCACCGAAACAGCTGCACTCGAATGCACTGGGGGGTGAGAGGGCATCTTTTCCTGGGCCCCACCTCCTCAGATACAGTCTCAGCCTCCTGAACGTTGTCCAATCTCACCAATGAACCATGACATCTCACTGATGTTTGTATGTACATTCCCCTCATTTTTAGTGAGGATGAACATCTTTGCAGTATTGATTGGTCATTAGTAGGGTTTTTTTTCTTTTTTCCCTCTTGGGCTTGACTTTACTGCCTCTTCTATCATTTATCTTCTTCTTTCATTGACTGGTGTGCACTCTTCAACTATTACAGCTATGGCCTTTTTTCTGTTACATGTGTGGCAGATATTTTCTCTGGCTCTTTAGCTTGTGTTTAAACTTTGCTTATGGTGTCATTCACTAATCAGAAGTGGTTTGGTTCAAGGAGGGAAAGAGAAGGGAAACTGACATTTACACCAACAATATGCATATGTTGTCTCTTACATATATTTCATTAATACCTATAGCATCTCTATGACATAGGTATTATTATTTCTAATTTTTTTAAAGTAAAAATCTTAGGCATTAAAAGAGGTTACCTGCTCAAGATCACCCAGTGAGTAACTGAAACCTCACCTGGAATTCACATCTATTGGTACAATTCCAAAATCAAGTTTTCCCCCAAAGCATCTTTTCTAGTTTCATTATCTATTTCTGGGTAGATGTTTGAGGGGAATGATTAAATATAGGTTCTTGTAGATTATACCTTTATATAAAAGTGACAGATCCTTACTAAAAATTTAAAAATTAAAAAAAAGAAGTGGCTGGGGTTTCTATTTTGTTTTGGTTTTGTTGGTCAAATCTGTCTATCATTTACTCTATGGTTATTGGATTTTGAGTCTTGCCTAGTAAACCCTTTGTAACCCCAAAGTCATGAAAATATCCCCTTATATTTTCTTATAGCACTTTTTCAAGGTTTAGGTTTTCCATTTTCGGAATGTATTTCCTCTAGAATTTTCTTGTGTATTTGGTGAAAGACAGGACTCTTTTTCCCTCCACTGGGGAGGCAACTTCCCAAAGGCATTTACTAGATAGTTCATCCTTTTTCTACTACTCATTACACACTCTCCCAGGCCCCAACTTCTCTATATCCAAGGACAGGTGATGTGATGTGGTAGCCTTTAGGCCACATCAATTTGAAAATATTTTGGTCAATAGAAAAGTGATCAAAAATATATTTCAGAGTCTTACTGAAAGTCCACCAATGGTTTCCAGTCTTTGTCAACTTCCTTGCAGCCTCAAATCTCTGTCTCCCCACCAGGAAAGGCCACTGCTGGAGGCAGTTGCATTGCCACTGAGGCTGTGCCCTCCACATGGGAGGGGCTGGATGACTGCTGGCATGTCACCAGGAAAGCCCCCATGAAATGACTGCGTCTCCATTGATTTTCCTCCATGGCAGCTTCTCTGCAAAAGGCCTTTGTTCTTTCACTGACATTTGCAAGTTGTTAGGGCTTAAAGTAAGAAAGGGAATATTTCAAGAGGAAAAGCTTTTCTTCCCAAGAATAGTCAAGAAAGTTGGGAGAGATTAGTGAAACAATAGATTCTAGAGGCAACACGGTTTTCATGACTTTTTCAAAAGGAAAGAAAATACTTTATTACCACAAACTGATTTATTTGAGTGGATCAAACCAGCGTGCTGCAGCTCACTTCTGTTGTGCAATTGTCCTTTAATGCATGACCACCACCTGGCAGAACTTCCTTCTCACAGTGAACAAGAGCAAATGGTCTTTCACTAACTATGCAGATAACTTTGTTTCAAACCTCATGGAAGTAGTTGATACAGTTATACTTCTGTTTATTTTTTATTGTATTTTTTTAATTCCTCAAATGCATGGTCCATGCTGTCCAAGGTCTCTGGGTGTGTATAAGCAACTTTTAATTATACCATCTTTTTTTTATTTTTTGAGACAGGGTCTCACTCTGTCACCCAGGCTGAAGTGCAGTGGCTCGATCTCATCTCACTGCAGCCTCGACCTCCCAGGCTCAGGCGATCCTCCCACCTCAGCCTCCCAAGTAGCTGCTGGGACTATAGGTGTACACCACCACACCCAGCTAATTTTTTTTTTTTTTTTTTTTTTTTTGTAGAGATAGGATTTTGCCATGTTGCCCAGGCTGGTCTCGAACTCCTGGGCTCAAGCAATCTGCCCACCTCAGCCTCCCAAAGTGCTGGGATTTACAGGCGTGAGCCCCTGTGCCTGGCCTAATTATATTATCTTTTGAAAACCTCTACCACAGGCTGGGTGCAGTGGTTCACGCCTGTAATCTCAGCACTTTGGGAGGCTGAGGCAGATGGATCATGAGGTCAGGAGTTCGAGACCAGCCTGGCCAACATGGTGAAACCCCATCTTGACTAAAAATACAAAAATTAGCCAGGCATGGTGGTGCGTGCCTATAGTCCCAGCCACTTGGGAGGCTGAGGCAGGAGAATCACTTGAACCTGGGAAGTGTTGGTTGCAGCGAGCCAAGATCATGCCACTGCTCTCCAGCCTGGGCAACAGAGCAAGATTCCGTCTCAAAAAAAAAAAAAATTATACCACCAATCAGGCAATACACATAATTTGAATAAATGGTTCAAAATGAGCACCTGCATTGCAGACCTTTGAGAGACCACAGATTGCTAAACGGCCACACGCACGAATAGCATAAACCCATATTGAGCCAAAAAAAAATTAGAAATGCTAAGTTCCAGATTCTAACATACCCACCGACTGTCTGCGGAACACGCACTTTTGAATTATTTTGTAGTATAAATGTGGATCCCTCATTATCCATTGTGACCATGTGACACAATCAGCTGAAATTGGAATTTGGCTCTTCCTGTGTGCAGGTGATGTGGCCCAACTTTCCATGAATAAAGGAGCTTTCTCTATTACACTGAGTCAAGTAGCTCAGAGCTTGGTTTACACCGGAGCTCATGGAGAGACTAGTGTCAGTCCAACTTAAAGACTCAGGAGAAGTTACCGCCATGCTGTGGCATGGCGTGGCAACCCCACATGGCCGTGTCTGGGAGACTGAGGGCTGCGAATACACTCCAGGTGCCTAGTTCACAGCAGAGATACCCCAATTTAAACCAACGACAGCCACCATCTCCTTCAGGTTGCTGCCAGCAATAGCCTCCACCTTCCTAGATTTGCCCTACATTTGTTTGCGCAGATTTTCTGGTCACCATATCAGGGAGGCACATATGATGAAATGGCAAACCTTCTCAGCTTACTGAAGCGGCAGCAGTGCATGGAATCCTCATGCTTTGAATCTCTCTCACTTCTGCCGCAGCTCTTTCTTGAGCTCCCTGCTGTTACGGGCTCCTGTGATAACAGTAGCCCCGCCCAGGTAACTCAGGCTGATCTCCTTACCGCCTGTGCCACAGAACGTGAGATAAGCAAGGAAAACTATTTCCTCCTGCTGAAGGGTTGCCGGGGGCAGAGTGGGGCATCTTTGAGGGCAATTTTAGAAACTCTGCTTACCACAGCTATGAACACGGCTGCATGCCTCCTTGTAGGTGGCCTGTAGTATGTCATGAAGTTCCCAAATTGGCAGTTTTCTTTCCTATAATTTTGGGATAACAACCCTTTTTCAGGATTCAGCACATCATGAGAGTGATTGCAAATTCGGGTCAAACATTTGTTTGCAAATATGTGATTGCTGCAGCACAAATCCTCAGCAAGTAGAACATGCTGTGTTGACCCTAATTCCCTCAGACAACGCTCTCTAGCGCCTGCCCTGCCCACTGAAAGGGACTGCATTCTGAAGATCCCTCCAGGAGCGGCAATTGCACAATGGGCTCATTCTCACTTGTTTCATCTGCCCTGCGACAATGCCCAGGGACTCAGGGAGTAATTGAGGGGTTTAGTGAAGTGGTGAAGTTAAGGGAGATGACAGGTTTGACCTGATGAAGCGACAGCAAAAGGCCATTACCTCCATGTCTGAGGGGCAAGGGGAGGGGTGCTTACCAGCTCACTGAGACCTCAGGTAAAGGAACATAGCCATCCCTAACCCACTGCCTGGCAGGGAAAAGCCAGGGGATAAACACCTTGGCACTCTCTTCTCCCCTCTCCACTGTCTCACTGGGGCCTTCCATTGGCTGAGCCCAACCAGAAGCCAGAAGGAAAGGGAGCCTGGCAGATGCAGGCAACAGAGACCAGCTTTCCATCACATGGAGCAGGATGAGCAAGGTGGAAATATAGTGACCTGAGTATCAAGGAGGAAGAGGGTATTGGTCATGACCAACAACCCACGATCTCCACAGCTTTCTATAGCAGTCACGCTCTCCAGGGCCAAGTGCAGCACTGCTCCATGTCATCTTCCTCCAGAACGGGGTCAACAGAGTATCTCCTTTCAAAGCACATCCAGTCTTATGGCCAAGAATAAAGAGGCCATCCCCATACCAGCTGCAAAAGCATCTGCCTGGAAACAGCTCACATTCACTCTGCACACACTTCATTGGCCTAGGGTATATCACGTAGCTGCTCCGGAGTTTTAAAATGTGGTGATGCATAACTTCCCACTGTGAGAGGTATCATAAGGAGGAAAACCAGAAAATCTGACAAACAGGCATGCAACATTACGTAAAAGGGAAGAGTGGGCGTCATCTTCAAAGCCAGCACCTATGCATCTCACCACTCCTGCTTCCTGTCTCTCTTGACTCTTCTTCCATCTTGTCCACACGATTACACTGGGTTCACCTAAGAAAAGGCATAAAAATGCATACAAGGCCAGGCACAGTGGCTCACGCCTGTAATCCCAACACTTTGGGAGGCCAAGGCAGGTGGATCACGAGGTCAAGAGATTGAGAACATCCTGGCCAACATGGTGAAACCCTGTCTCTACTAAAAATACAAAAAGTAGCTGGATGTGGTGGCACACGCCTGTAATCCCTGCTACTAGGGAGGCTGAGGCACAAGAATCACTTGAACCTGGTAAGTGGAGGTTGCAGTGAGCCGAGATCGTGCCACTGCACTCCAGCCTGGTGACAGAGCAAGACTCTGTCTCAAACAACTCCGTCTCAAACAAACAAACAAAAAAAAGTACAGCCAAAGGATAGTAACTCAGTAGAGGAAGAATGGTTATTTCAACAAATTGGAGATCCACAAATTATTAGGAAAATGAATGTCAACCTCAACCTCACACTTCATATAAAAGTTACCTTAAAATGGGATGGGCACGATGGCTCATGCCTGTAATCCCAGCACTTTGGGAGGCCAAAGCAGGTGTATCACCTGAGGTCAGGAGTTCGAGACCAGCCTGGCCAACATGGTGAAACATCATCTCTACTAAAAATATAAAGATTAGCCAGGCATGGTGGCGGGTGCCTGTAATCCCAGTTACTCAGGAGGCTGAGGCAGGAGAATCACTTGAAACCGGAAGGCGGAGGTTGCAGTGAGCCGAGATCATGCCACTGCACTCCAGCCTGGGCAAGAAGATCGAAACTGCATCTCAAAATAAATAAATAAATAAATAAAGTTACCTCAAAATGGATCTCAGGTTTAAACATAACACTACAAAACTTTTAGATAAAAAAAATGGAGAAAATCTTCAGGAACTAGGTAGGGCTTAGGAAGATTTCTTAGATCTGACACCAAAAGCACAATCCATAAAAGAAAAACATATCAGTAAATTGGACTTCACCAAAAGTAAAATCTATTGCTCTGCAAAAGACTCTGTTAAGAGGATGAGAAGGCAAACTACAAACTGGGAGACAATATCTGCATATCGTCCACCTGACAAAGGTCTCCTATCTAGAACACATAAAGAACTCTGAAAGCTCAACAGTAATTTTTGAAAATCCAATTAAAAACTGAGCAAACACATAAAGAGACATTTCACTGAAGAGGACATATGGATGGCAAGCACATGAAAAGATGCTCCACATCATTAGCTATTAGAGAAATGAACATTAAGAACACAATGAGGCCGGGTGCAGTGGCTCACGCCTGTAATCCCAAAACTTTGGGAGGCCAAGGCAGGTGAATCGCTTGAGCTCAGGAGTTTGAGACCAGCCTGGGCAACATGGCAAAACCCCGTCTCTACCAAAAATACAAAAATTAGCCAGGCGTGGTAGCATGCATCTGTGGTTCCAGCTACTCAGGAGGCTAAGGCAGGAGAATCACTTGAGCCCAGGAGGTCGAGGCTGTACTGAGCCATGTTCATGCCACTGCACTCCAGCCTTGGTGACAAAGTGAGGCTGTCTCAAAAAAAAAAAAAAAAAAAAGAAAAGGAAAAGAACACAATGAGAATCACCACACAACTATTACAATAGCTAAAATTAGAAATAGTGACAATACCACACACTGGTGAGGATACATAAAAACTGGTTCTCTTATACATTGTTAGTGGAAATGTAAAAGGGTAGAGTCACTCAGAAAACCAATCAGCAGTTTCTTCACAAATGAAAGATATACCTGGCTGGGCACGGCAGCTCACACTTGTAATCCCAGCACTTTGGGAGGCTGAGGCAGGCAGATCACCTAAGGTCAGGAGTTCGAGACCAGCCTGGCCAACATGGTAAAACCTTTTCTCTACTAAAAATACAAAATTAGCCAGGCATGGTGGCATGTGCCTGTAATCCCAGCTACTCGGGAGGCTGAGGCAGGAGAATCGCTTAAACCTGGGAGGCGGAGGTTGCAGTGAGCAGAGATCACGCCATTGCACTCCAACCTGGGCAACAAGAGTGACACTCTGTCTCAAAAAAAAAAAAAAAAATTAAGAAAGATATACCTATCATACCACCAATCCTGAGCATTCGTACCAGAAAAATGAAGATGTATACCCACACAAAAGATTCTACACAATTGTTCATGGTAGCCTTATTTGTGATAGCCAAAAACTAGAAACAACTCAAATGTCCTACGGCAGGTGAATGTTTAGACAAACTGTGATGCACTTGTACCATGGCCCCCTACTCAGCAGAAAAAAGAACTAACACTTGACACATGCAACAATTTGGGTGTGTCTCAAGGGCATTAGGCTGAGGGGAAAATGTCAATATCAAAAGTCACATGCTGTATGATTCCATTATATAAAGTCCTTGAAATGACAAAATTAGAGAAATGGAAAAAAGACGAGCGCCCAGGTGAGTGATGATGGGGGGCCGGGGTGGAAGGAGAACGGTGAAGGGGTGGCACAGTGGGATTGTCGTGGGGCTGGAGGAGCTCCAGCCTGGCTCTGGTGCTGCTTATCCTAACCCGCCCACATGATAAACAGAACCGCACACACCTCGAACCAGTGTCAGGTCCTGGCTTTGATTCTGCGCTATGTTTACAAAACTTGTACCCACTGGGGGAAACTGGGGGAAGCACTGAATCTACCCATACATTTTCACAGCTTCCTGTGAACCTATAATTATTTCAAATAAGAAGTTTTTAAAAATCTGAGCAGAATCTAGAAAATGTGAAGAATGCATATACTCTAGAACTCAGCAAAAATATCCCAGTAACAAACAGTTTGAAAATGTATTCTTTAAAAGATACACATGAAAAAAATACAAAACAACTAACACTAAATCTAACAAAAGATAAATAAGATTTTTGTGAGGAAAATTATAAAACTTTATTAAAATATCTTTCTAAAGAATTTAAACAGAGAAATAAGCCATCATGTTTGTGGATTAAAATACTAAATATAATAGAGATATTAGTTCTTCCCCAGTGGATCTATAGATTCAATGCAATTTCATTTGAAACCCAACAAGTTTTTTTGTGAAACTTGATAAACTGATTGAAAAATGCATAGGAGTAAAAAGCAGAGAATAGCCAAGACACTCCTAAAATAAGAATAAGGTGTAAGGAATTGACTCACAGATATCAAAAATCATTGTGAAACTACAGAAAGTAGGATAATGTGGTACTTATTTAGAGACAGACAAATTGACAAAGAGAACAGAATGGAGGCTAGACCTAGACCAGCACACGAATGGAAGTTTTCTGTATGCCCAAGCTGGTATTGCAGATTAGCAGAGAAAAGATGATTATTCAATAAATGGTGGTGGGACATTGATTATACCTATGGAAAAAAATGAAATTAGATTCTTAGCACACACCATATACAAAAATCAATTCTAGTATATTGAAGACAAAGGAGAAAAGCAAAAACCACAAAATTTAAAAGGCAAAATATGAACACATCAAGACAGTGAGGAATTTCTTAAAATACCGCAGCAAAAACATAAAGGGAAAGATTGATGATTTCTACTAAACTAAAATGTTTAAATTCTGTTCTAAAAAGACCTTATAAAGGGAATGAAAAAAAATTCTCTGGGAGAAAATATTTGCCACATCTGTAACTGACAAAGGATTATTGTCTATAACATATATATAAAGAACTGTATCAGTAAACAACTCTGAGATGAAATGGGGAAAGGCTTGAAAACACTTCACAGAGAGAAATAAAAAACGGCTCTAAGTACATGAAAACGCACAAGCTCATTAGCAGCCACAACAAGAAACCATTTCATACCCAGCAGACTGGCAAAGATTTTAACGTTGACAATACCAGCGCTTGGGAAGGGGAAGGATGTGGAACTCTGTGCACATGCCCAGTGGAAAGTAATTGTTACAACCCATTTGGAAAAAAAAAAAAAAAAACCATTTGGAAACCAACCGAGCAGAATCTAGAAAATGTGAAGAAGGCATGTGCTCTATGACCCCTCAACTCAACCTCTGGGGAAAAAAGGGCCTTGGAGACCTGCTGTGTCTGTGCAGGAAGAGATGGAAGAGAGTGGGCACAGTGGCTCTTTCTGCAGTAGCAGAAAGCCAGACGCCAATCCAATGTCCATAACAAAAGGATGGTATACTCCTTCAACTAAAATCCAGATGGCAGGGAAAGTAGATAAATCACAGTTACACAAAAAACATGGATAAATCTCAGAGACACACAGAACTGAATGAAACTAGAAATCACAGAATAATATATAAAGTATGATTCTGTTTATTTTAAACTCAAAAATCAGAAAAACCAAACTAGCTGTTGTTTAAAATAACAAACGTGTGGAAGAACTGTGAAGAAAATCAAGGGAGGGATAAACACAAAATTTAGGATACAGTACTTGGAGGGGACAGAAGAAAGGGATGGCTCCGGAGGGACCTAGAGACCTCAAACAGGATGGTGGCCTTTTACTTAAACTGGAAATTGAGTCTACGGGCATTACACACATAGTTAAGTGCATGTTATGCATATTTTCAAAATTACAAAAATAAAAGGAAACCGAGAGGCTCCGTGGGAACCACTTGATTCTCACTGAAACTGATGGAGGGGAAGGAGGGTGCCACCTCCCTGCCATTCCCAAGGCCCGCGCTCAGGCAGCTGCTTCCGACCCCCGGGGACGCCCGCCCCGTGGACCAAACACACACTATCATTTCCTAAGTGTGGGAGCACGGGAGTAAAGGAGCACGACTGGGCCGCTCATCACTGGGAGAGGCGGGCAGGGAAGGAGCAGTAGGGGGAGAAGCGGGACAACCCCTGGCCGCCACCCTCCACCACGGTCCGCATTCTGCCGTTGGCCTCGGCCCAGCGTGCTTTCCTCTGCTAGCCAGCCAGGTCCTACTGTGTGTTGGGGGTAAGGGGGAAGCAAGGCTATTCTGAATCTCCACTCCACGGCCTCTCTCCCTCTCCTCCCAAATGCTCCTCCTTCAGGCCACATCCTGACGCAGCTGCTGACACCCTCATATTCAGCATCCACCGTAAGCTTTTTCATTTGCTCCCAGTGAACATTTTCAGGGATGTCAAGGAGGAGGAGGAAAGGGGGTGCCATCGGGAAGGGCTGGCAATGACAAGGCCAGGGATGGTGAAGAGACCCTGCAATTAGTTCCTGACCTCCATCTCACCTCAAGCCCAAGTCCTGCCATTTCAACTCAGGGAACTTGTTTCTGGCCACTGCTGGGGCCGCCTCCTCCACTGTGGGCGCTCAGCTGCCCGGTGTCCTGCCAGTCCCCTCCCTAAACCAGGATCACTGCGCGGAGGTCACCTGGAATCACCCGTACTTGTGGGTCCTAGACACCCTGTGACTCATTAATGTCCCTGGTGCCAAGAAGCTACAGCAGGAAAATTCACTACAGCAGGAAAATTTCTCTGTTATCTCAGAGAAGCCCACCTGAAGAGGCAGTCCTCGCCAGATCTCCGCTTATCGCCTCTGTGTGAGCACAAGAATTATGGTGTCTTATCAAGCAGCATTTTCCCGCCGAATTAAGGGGAACGGTCCATTTGCCCTCTGACCTTTTGGAAAAGTAACCACTGGGCGCCTTTCTGGTGTGGTGGAAAATCACAGCATAGGCGCTTCTAAAGCACAGGCTATAAAACATTCTTCATGTCTTGTTCAAATCTTCAAAGCTCCCCAGTTGAAGCTCTCAGCTTGACAGCGTCCAGCTAACTCCTCCGCCTTGAGCTCTCTGTGCCTTTGGGGCCTGGGCCGCTGCTGCTTCCTTGCAACTCCAAGGAGCCTAATCAGACTTCAGATGCCCACAAGCGCTTCTTCTTTCTTCTCTACCTCTCCCTAAAAAGAAAAAACAATCATGTTGGCAAAAGGGAAATGGAACAAGGCAAATCCAGTTTATACAAATGCATCAGAGAGGTTTAGTGCTTTTCTCCTAAAAATATTCACCCATAGGCAGGGCAGGGTGGCTCACACCTGTAATCCCAGCACTTTGGGACGCCGAGATGGGTGAATCACAAGGTCAAGCGACAGAGACTATCCTGGCCAACATGGTGAAACCCCGTCTCTACTAAAAATACAAAAATTAGCTGGGTGTGGTGGCATGCACCTGTAGTCCCAGCTACTCGAGAGGCTGAGGCAGGAGAATCGCTTGAACCTTGGAGGTGGAGGTTGCAGTGAGCCGAGATCGCGCCATTGCACTCCAGCCTGGCGACAGAGCGAGACTCCATCTCAAATATATATATATATATATTCACCCATAAATCTGTAAAAGGAAAGGCTTGTAACAAACAGCTGCATCTGTTTCTACCCCGTGTCCTCAAAGCTGATACCACACAAGATACCAAGGAGGCTTCCAAAGACTTGAGGCAGAAGTCTTCAGTGTTCAAACATCCATTACGTTTTTGAGCCACTTTTTTCATTATTTAGGTCAATAAAGTCCAGTAACCAAAAGAAAGCAGGAAGGAGGGGTCAAAAGCCAGAAAGGAGCTGTGATCTATGAGTGGTTATAACACCCTGGCCAAAGCAAGGACATCCAACTAAACTTAGACAACATCATAGTGATTAAACAGTCCCAAAAATGATCAGAAATGTGTGACATTTGGTCCAGGCGTGGTGGATCATGCCTGTAATCCCAGCACTTTGGGAGGCTGAGGTGAGTGGATGACCTGAGGTCAGGAGTTAGGGACCAGCCTGACCAACATAGTGAAATCCCATCTCTACTAAAACTACAAAACAATTAGCGGGCCATGGTGGTGAACACCTGTAATCCCAGCTACTCAGGAGGCTGAGGCAGGAGAATCGCTTAAACATGGGAGGCAGAGGCTGCAGTGAGCCGAGATTGCACCACTGCACTCCAGCCTGGGTGACAGAGCAAGACTCCATCTCCAAAAAAAGAAAGAAAGAGAGAGAGAGGGAAAGAAAGAAAGAAAGAAAGAAAGAAAGAAAGAAAGAAAGAAAGAAAGAAAGAAAGAAAGAAAGAAGGAAGAGGGAGGGAGGGAGGGAATGAAGGAAGGAAGGAAGGAAGGAAAAAAGAAGAAAGAAAGAAAGAAAGAAGGAAAGCAGTGTGGCATTTAGGGAAAATACATCAATCAAGATTATCACTTCTATAAGAAGGCAAATCTTGGTAACCAGAAATATAAGAGGATCCTTCCAAGAAGGAGCCAGTGAAGCAATGAGATTGAGGTGGAGACAGATAGAAGGGCGGGGAAAAGGTGTGCACCACGCAAGCCACTGGGAGCACTGGAGTTTAATTCCATGGGCAATCCAAATAAGCACACTTCGCAACTCCTTCCTTTAAGGAACTTACTTTACAATTGCAACTCTAATACCCAGAAGAAGTGAAAACAGGCACTGAGAGAAAGACTTGTGCACACGTTTACAACAGCATTATTCACAACAGCCAAAAGGTGGAAATGGCCCGAATGTTAGTCAACAGATGACTGGATAAACACAATGTGTGGATGCATCACGCATGCGGGGGTGCAGGACAGAGCTGGCAGTGGGGCGGGGGCCACTGAGGATGGGACCTGACAGCCGGGTCCTAGGCCAAGAGAGCGCTGCAGGCATTCCGGGAGAAATACCTGCACACAAAGACCTCATTGCGAATTACTATTATGTATAAGTACAATAAATAGCTTAAGCAGGTGAAGATTAAATTAATACAAGATAGGGCTGGAAAGGTATTTGCAGGAGACAGTGGGAAATAGCCAAGTTTGTAAAATGGTAATAAAAGGTTTTGACATATTTTGGCTTCAGATAAAAGACATAAATGCCCTCTCGGGGGAAAAAAACATATCCTTGTCAATAATTATGTAACATGATTAACTCTATCCCTCTGGCCTTGCAGCTCACCCAACAGAACAGCCCAGGCCTCTCCTCTCCTCAGCTCCTGCAGAGGAACACAGAGTGGTGAATGCCCACCAAGCACCTTCCCACAGACTCAGCCTGGAGTTTGTTTCAGACCCTGTCTAGGTTGTCCACAGAGAAGGCATGTGTCCTCTTCCACTATTTCCTCCTAATGGTTGTTAGGGCAAAAAGTGAATATTCCAGATTGCCATACTCATGAAAGCTACTAAACTATACAAGGGGGCTGGGCACAGTGGCTCACACCTATAATCCTAGCACTTTGGGAGGCCAAGGCCAGTGGATCATCTGAGGTCAGGAGTTTGAGACCAGCCTGGCCAACATGGCGAAACCACGTCTCTACTAAAAATACAAAAAAATGTTAGCCAGGCATGGTGGCACACACCCATAGTCCCAGCTACTCGGGAGGCTGAGGTAGGAGAATCGCTTGAACCCGGAGGCAGAGGTTGCAGTGAGCCAAGATCACATCACTGCACTCCAGCCTGGGCGACAGACCAAGACTCCATCTCAAAAAATCATAAATAAATAAACCATACAAGGGGAGATTCTGAACTTACCAGAAACAGCTCTTATTTTCCAAAGAATGAGTATCATTCAAATGTATAAAACAAAGAAATGACGAGCCAAGTGGAGCACATAATCAGAACAGAGGTGCATTTCAAAGCCAGCAGATTTCTAGCATGGATGCAGTGGGGCCACGTCAGTGCTCATGAACTCTAGGGACAACATACACCTGGGGCCATGCTCCGTCTCTCTCCCTGCGGATGTCAGCACCTTGCCAAGAGACAGGCACTAGGAGAGGAGGTTGTGCTCTGGACCCAAAACATGGATGAAGGAAGAAAGTGACAAAATGCAGAACATGCCCAAGCTGCTGGCATGGCTCATGCCTCAGGCCTCCCAGTCCAGCACCTGTGCCCCCCCAGGTCCCACTTTGATTCTAGAATGGACCCTCGACTCTCAGCAGGGCCCAGGCAGGAAGCAGTCAGCCAGCTGCGCAGCTCTTTGCATGCCTGATTCACCCTTATCAATCATGTGCTCTTCCCTAACCAAGGAAATAAGGTTCTGTGCCGCCAGAAACATACAGCTTCCCGAACCCTGCCTATTTTCCTTCAAGACTGTCTTCAGAAACACATGAATATGCTTCCTCTGCGCTTTATTAATGTTCATATTGAGAGAAATAGCAACGACCTGCCAGAGATGCTAAATGGGTGAGCAGAGGAAAGTCTACCATGCACACGTGTGTGAGTGATAAGTTCTCCACCAGAGAATAGGTTTTGAGGAGAACAGGGGAAAGATACAACCCCAGCTCCATCCAGATGTATCTATGCTCACATGGAATGGGCTTCCTTTCGCAGAGCACAGGGGCCTTTCTTCCTTTATGAGAACAGGCACTCCCTTCTGTTGATCACTAGGAAATGGGGGGAGAAAAGTTATTTGATAAAAGGGTAGGGATCTCTCTCCCTCCCAACCAATTCCAGAGGGAGGCTGAACAGGAGGCGGCGCCCTTTCTCTCTGGCCCTGGTCATCTCACAGCCCTACCCCACGCCACCTGACTCAGACCTTGTTCTGTGGATGCCCAGACCAGGTTGTTCTCCATCAGCCCTGGATTCCAGCAAAGTTCAGAGAACAAAAGGGACACCTGCACACAGAGGAGGAGGAGCCCCTGGCTACTCGTGGGAGCGCAGACCTCAGTGGGCAAACCCTCCCTTCTGAGGGTCACCTCATCACAGAGGCCTCAGCCTGAGTCTCCGCCAACCAGTGAGAAGCGGGCAGGGTCGGGGGGATACAGAAGCGTAGCTGCCCTGCAAGGAAGAGCCAGACTGTGTTTACTGCTGGGGGTGGATGGCACCAGCTCCACACACAAAGAATGAAATGCACACAGAGCTCATCTGACATAGTACATGTGCTCCTCAAGTTGGCCCTGGTCAGGCACCAGGGACACTGAAAATGAGTGCAGCACAGCCCTCCTGCTCAGCACGGCAGCCGGGCCAGCACCACAGGGGGTGCCTGAGCCCAAAGCCCATCAGTAGGGTGACCATGGCGAACAGTAACCCACTTTGTCTTTCAAAATAGCTAGAACAGTCCCAATGTTTCCAGGGTAAAGAAATGACAAGCATTTGATTTGAGCGTGGCAGCTCACGCCTGTAATCCCAGCACTTCGGGAGGCCAAGATGGGCGTATCACCTGAGGTTAGGAGTTCGAGACTAGCCTAGCCAACATGGTGAAACCCCGCCTCTATTAAAAACACAAAAATTGGTGGGGCATGGTGGCATGTGCCTGTGGTCCCAGCTCTTCAGATATGAGGCAGGAGAATCGCTTGAACCCAGGAGGTTGAGGTTGCAGTGAGCTGAAATCGCACCACTGCACTTCAGCCTGGGCGACAGAGCAAGACTCTGTCTCAAAAAAAAAAAAAAAAAAAAATTTAAAAACAACAAAAGCTGTCATGAACATGAACCAAGGTTAAATCCAACAGCTACTCTTTAGTGAAAATAGCATGATAAACTTTATCTATTGACTTCAACAAAGCAGAGAAGCAGTCCCTGATTTCATTTGAAGGAAGCACCTTGAAGCTTTGTTAAAAAAAAAAAAACATTGAAATGAGAGCATCCGAATGCTAAAATCAGCCAATTGCTTAAACCAACAAAATAAACTCAATCTACTTCTAAGCACCTGGTTTTGTTTCAACTCGTTCTTTAAGAGAACTGAAGGTGCCCAGCGCCAGGCAGGGCAGAGAATTCCTCTAGTAACCTTAGACTCAATAGAGCAAAACTGAAAACAACAAATTATTCTCCCCCTTCCAGCTTTCTATATGCATTTATTTAATGTAAGCATGCTTGATGAATGCCACAAAACAGGTAAGGCCTGGTGTTCCCGGAGTCTGATAGTCACTTCTGGTGACTGGGGCAGCTGGATCTTGGACTCAGAGGGGCCCTGGACCCTAAGCTTGTTCATGGCACCTCTGTCTTGTGTCTCTGGAGCTGTTTGGTAAAACAAGCATTTGAATGTCCAGACTCATGCGGTGCCTTTCACCAGGGAGTGTTAGAACCCTTTGCAAATCTGAGCTCGCTCATCTGCAGCACATGGTATGTTCAGCTGGGGAGGGCTCGGGCCATTTCTGCCAGAAGGGCAGGGCTGAGTGTGTCTCCAGGAGCCCCCACCTCAGACCAGATGCCCAGACCCCAAATAAATCGCCCAAGTAATCTAAGCTAACGAGTGTCTTGGGGGTTGGCTCCATTATCCACATAGCAGCCTAAATCTCCTCCTCTCCTTCTCTTGGGGCCACAGTCCATAAATCTGAATGGCTTAAGAAGAGAAGGGGCCTCAGCTCTCCACAATTCCATCCAGCAAAAACTGGACCTCAGGCTCGTGGTTTCACAGCCGGAGCCCCCTCAGCTACCATGCCAGGCAGCAGAAGCCATGGCAGGCCACCAAGCCTGCCACCAGCAATGGACCAAAGGGATGAATTTGTCAGACAAGGGAAAATATTTCAAAGGAATATTCACTGCAACAAGAAACAGATGCCTCAAAATCTAGGTAAACACTCAAGGCATCTTCCGAAGCCCTCCAGTTTGGATTGGACTTGGTCAAGGAGGGGCCCAGATCACAAGAACCCACTTCCTGGGGACTAAAACTTGGCATTTATAGATGCACCAAGACTCCTCTAACACGGCTACTGATTGTTGCACAGTCGAGATCTAGGGCAGACCACTGTGGCTAAAATGGGACTGCCAGGGGTCTGCAGGCACTTCCCAGCAGCACCTGTGGCTCTGGGGACCAAACCCACAGACCGGAAACTCTCTCAGGACACTCTGGGTCTGGAACGCACTTGCTCTTTGAGAATTCGACTTTTTAATATCTTACTCTTCTAAAAAAGCTGTCTCTCTTCTAGACTGCTGGGGTTCACAGTGAACATCTGAGTGATCATAATGCATCAGTAGATGGAAAATCAGATTATGGGATGCAGAGGTCTTAGAGATGAGAGGCA
Organism: Homo sapiens; assembly: GCF_000001405.40. Taxonomy (NCBI): domain Eukaryota; kingdom Metazoa; phylum Chordata; class Mammalia; order Primates; family Hominidae; genus Homo; species Homo sapiens. Next base: position 58,603 of record NW_025791782.1, on the reverse strand, counting down.
ACAGAATGGAAGGAGTATTTATGGAAGCAAAGATTTTGCTCAAGACAGATGCAGCCGAGCAGGCCTTGGGAGCAGAGAGATCACGGCAGGGGCACATAGCTTCATTTAATGACAAAAGAAACCACCTTAAGAAAAACATAACCTTTGTATCACAGATGACATTTCACTACAGGGAACGAGTAATGTAAAACATGTTATCTGCTCATCACAGAAACTTCTTTCCTCACCTAAGAGCTGAGAGCATTGTTTGTGGTCTCTAAAACGCTTCTGATCAAGTCAAGGCCCCCCAGTGAATAAACAGGATCTAGGCACCTACTTGGTTGCTGCTGCCTGCCTCTGACATGTGAACGAGACTTTCTGTGAACAGGACTTTTGCCTTGAACAGCCTCAGTGATCTCCACCTGAAAATTCAACACTTAACTTCAGAAGAAGATTCGCCTTTATTCCATTCCACTTATGCTGCAGTTGGGAGAGCCTCCACCCCAGCCCAGGGCCTAGGGGGAGAAAGGGGCTCCCAAAGGGCTGGTGGCTGCGGCCAGGTTCCCAAGAAATGACAGCAAACAGTCAAATCACAGCCTGAACTCACTTTGCAAAGGACTCGCCACCTTCTCTGCTTCTGCCCAGGTTGGGGGGAACGGGGGAGCTGTTCTACAGAGTCTGTCTCTACCACCCCTTCCTCCAGGTGGAAGAAAGCCCCCCACTCCCGTTTGCTGTGAAACACTGATTTGAATACCCCATTTCCTTCTCTAGGCCAGTGCAGGCAAATGGAGCAAACCAGGCTGAATTCCCCGTCCCAGGCAACAGGGTTCTATCCTGCTCTGAGATAGAAAAGTTTCCTGTCGTGGGGTCAGGCCTACTGTCATGAAGAAAAGCTATTACTTTCAAGAATAAAACATTCTTAAAAACCACTCATCTGATATAAAAGATTCTCTGCTCTTCCCCTTCCCACACATACTTAGCCACTGGGAATGGAAACATTTTAGTAAAAGCCTTTGGGAAAATCTGGATGACTGCAGAGGATGAAGAACTTTAAAATGTCTGAGTTTGTCAGACACAGTAACATATTTCAAAGGAGCACTCACTTCAACAGAAAATAATACCTGTCACCCAGCACGTACACAGTGTTACTATTTTCATGGTAATTTGGAAAATAATGAGTTTGATTTTTGAAAGCAGATATAAGATACTTTAAAACCATATCGTGAATATCAAAAATGAATCTGTAAGTTAATGCAATGTCATACAAGACTTGAAAACATGTTTAAATACGTAGTTCAAAATTATATCTACTCTATTGATTACAATTGCAATACAACACAACCTCATATTAAAAAACAAATAGGGCCTGGCACAGTAGCTCACACCTGTAATCCCAGCACTTTGGGAGGCCAAGGCAGGCAGATCTTGTGCCTAGGAGAACAGCCTGGGCAATATGGTGAAACCCAGTCTCCACCAAAAAATACAAAAATTAGCCAGGTGCGGTGGTGCACTCCCGTAGTCCCAGCTACTTGGGAGGCTGAGGTGGAAAGATTGCTTGAGCCTGAGAGTCAAGGTGGCAATGAGCTGTGTTTGTGCCACTGCACTACAGCATGGGTGACAGAGCGAGACCCTGTCTCAAAAAAAAAGAAAAAAAATGAAAGAAAAGAAAAAGCTGCAGGTTCCCCATGCAATGAAAGTGATATTCTTGTGTTTAGATATATTTTTGCTACTTATTAAATACAAATGTTACAGGCGATGTGGAGAAGCGGGTGGGGGGATGATTCTCCCCAGGGCACACCCGGGAGAGGAGGCTGTATGGCCCTGCCTCCAGGAGAAATTTCTCCAGCAACCAGTTCATCCTGCAGCTGCACGACAGTGATGCGAACCCTCTCATAACACACAACCAAAAGTAAAATCCACGTGCTGTACAAATTCATCCCTACCTGACACAGCCAAGAAAAAGCACTTGATTTTAAAATTGAAGAAAAAAAAAATCTCTCAAGCCATTAGTATTGTTAGTATTGCCCTAATAAAACCATTCCAACATTAATGAAAGTAACTTGTAGTACACTTACGATCCCACCACCTTAAAAAATCACTTTTATCTTCCACATTTTCAAAACATTTCAACCTTATGATAACTCCATAAGCTGCGCACAGAAAAAAAATCACTTCCAGCTTTGATAAAACTCAGTTGAGAGAAAACAATCCCCCCCCCAGATATTTATAAGAACTAGGAAAGTGACTGATCAAAACAAGGCATGCTTCCTACATAGAGTATTTTGAAACCCGACACACCTACATTTCTTTCTCTCAGTTCCAAACATGCCCAGGAGAAGTTGCACAGATTTCCTGGGTATAGGGAACAGATGTGTAAAGCACCTGACACTGACCCAAATTATAATTGACTTTCAGTCAATTCCATCACTAAAGTAGGGCTGGCCCGTGGAGCAAGTGCAAAACTTAGAGGCTTCTCTATGGTTTCTGCACCCTCTTTATCATAATCTCATTTAGTTCTTACAGCAAATGAAACTGTTTCCAAACAAAACAGTCACCCATGGATGGGGAATCGCGCTCAGAACTTATTCAACTTAATCTTAAAAGTGTAATTCCGGAAATTCATCAGGATTTGCAAAGCAACACGGACTTGCTATGTGCATGCTCCTCCTAGTGACTAAACTGGGGAAATGAAAAAGATTTTTCAAAGTTGCATCCACTCCATGTCTAACTCTCGGTACTGGGAAGCATGGGCTCCCCTAATCCTGCGCGGAGACCACCCACCAGACAGTCTCGCCTGTGCGTTCTCCATGTTGTGTAGTGAACTCTGTCCTGCCGTGGGTCTTCAGCTTATAAAAACTTCCCGGGAGAAAGGCCTGTTCTGTTCTTGGTTTAGCAGATGACATTTCAGAAGGCCAGTGCTCATGTCCAGCACTTCACAAATAACAACTCACGCAGACCTCAGCACGTTTACCTTCAATGTCCAGCGTCTGAGAGGGTCTCGGCATCTACAGGCACTGCTATTTCTGTGTCAAATATCACCTTGTTTCACCTTATTTTTAAGCCAGATTTCTTGTGACTCCCATTAAAAATGTAAAAAAAGAGACCAACATGGTGTTTATGAGTTCTAAAAAATACGCTAATATTTTTATTAAAATACACAGTATCTGGGGAGACTTGAGGGCTCCCCAGGCAACATCAGCACTGTGCAGGTGGGGAGGGGCTGGGGCTGGAGGCCAGGCCTCCAGGGAAGTGCTCCAGCAGCAAGTTCATCCTACAGCTGCATGACGTTGACAGGGACCCTTTCACAAAGCAGTCAAAAGTAAAATCCAAGTGCTGTACAAATTCATCTTAAGCTCAAAATGCTGCAGAGAACCTTTTTGTCACAGCATAAGGAAAAGTCACTTGTGAGTTTCCTGAGCCCTCTGGTGTTCCAGAGCCCTGTTCTGTTTATACCATCCTAGGGATCCTAGCCTTCAAGGAGATGAAACCCCACGCCAGACAGAAAGGTGTAAGGCACAGGCGGGCCAATGTCTGAAATGCAAGAGGCACTTGTCTGAGCGTCTCTCGCTCCCCATGCCCCAGCACCTCTCCCTCCTCCACGCACTGACCCTGCAGTCCTCCAGGGCCCTTTCTCGCCCCTCAATGCTGCAGCCAGTGGGACAGTGCTAAATGTGTGTCCATACATATCCCTTCTCAGCTCAAGACCCCGAAGTGGCTGCCCATGTCCCTCAGGGGGAAAACAGTGTCTTCACTGACTGGCCCACGGGCTCTGACCCCTCTCACCATCCTGACTGCTCCCTCTCCTCCTGGGCCTCCCTTCTCATCTCCACCAAAGCCGGCCTGGCCTCCTATTAGAAGGTGAAACCTGAGCTGGGAGCAGTGGCTCACACCTGTAATCCCAGCACTTCAGGAGGCCAAAGTGGGAGGATCATTTGAGGCCAAGGAGTTTGAGACCAGCCTTATCTCCAAAAAAGAACTTTTTAAAAAAAAATTAGCCAGGCACAGTGACATGGCTGTAGTCCCAGCGAGTCAGGAGGCGGAAGTGGGAGGATCACCTGAGTCCAGGATTTCGAGGCTGCAGTGAGTCACGATTGCGCCACAGCACTCCAGCCTGAGTGAGAGTGAGACCCCGTCTCAAAAAAAAAAGGAAAAAAAGAAGTGAGACCTCCCACCCCACCCCCACATCCTCGTGGTCGTTCGCCGGCTGAGCACTCAACAAGATGTTCTAGGTACTTGTTTACTGAGCTATTTCAAGCACAAAGAACATGGATAATAAGATAAATATTATTTTGTCACATTTTCTTCTCTTTTTTTGAAATAAGGTCTGTCACCCAGGCTGGAGTGCAGTGGCATGATCTTGGCTCTCTGCAGCCTCAGCCTCCCAGGCTCAAGTGTTCCTCCCACCTCAGCCTCCTGAGTAGCTGGGACTACAGGTGCTCGTCACCACACCCAACTCATTTTGTACTTTTCATAGAAACAGAGATTTGCCATGTTGCCCAAGCTGGTCTCAACCTCCTGGGCTCAAGCAATCCACCTGCCTCAGCCTCCCAAAATGCTGGGATTACAGGCGTAAGCCACAGCACCCAGCCTTTACTTCCTTTTCTAATGAACATAACTTCACGGATCACTTTGAAGCCCATGCGCCACCCTTCCTCCCCAGAGGAAAGCATTTCCATCATCCCCATGTGTACTCAGATGCTCTCACTACCATGGGCATAGAGGCTCCCTGTACGTCTTCACACTGTCTTCCCTCTGTCGGGTCTGCGTCCAGATTTCCTCATTTCATAAGGACACCAGTCCATATTGGATTAGGGCCCACCCTAATGACCTCATCTTAACTTGGTTTTCTCTGTAAAGACCCTATTCCCCAATAAGGTCCCATTCTGAGATACTGGGAGTTAGGACTTCAGGAGATCTTCTTGGAGGGACACAAATCAACCCAGAAGAGTCTGCTATATTTTTTCTCTCAAAGTTTTAGAGTTTTGCTTTTCACATGTAGGCCTGCATTTATCTGGAACTGGTTTTTGAGTATGACAGGGAATCTCATTCATTTCCTGTCTGCATAACCTCTCCTCCTGGCGCCTCATATGGAAGAGTCCATTCTTCCCCAGGAGTTCCCAAAGATCCCTCTGCCTTGGATCTAGTTTCTATACACATGTGAGTCTATCTCTGGGCTTTTTCTCCTCTGCTTAATTGAGCTATTTCTTATTTCTGTCTCTTAATTACATAATTGTATAAAGGGACTTGCTATCTGGTAGGAATAACACTCTCTCTTGGTACTTCCTCTCCAGATTGGGTTTTTACTGTTTATAGCTGTTAGAGTTTCCAAGAGAATCTTGGGATCAACATCTCAGGCTTTAACAAAAGTCAGTTGATATTTGATTGGTATTGTACTAATTAATCAGGGAGAAGTGACATTTCTTATATTAATACTTCCCAACAGTGCACACAATCTCACTTCTTACTCGCTCATACATTCGACGAAGTCTTACTGTTTAGTCCAGACATATCTGCACAAGTTCATTTCATTTGTTATAACCTACAAGTTGTTAAGTTCTGTTTCTCTGGAGAACCCAGATTAATACAATGCCAAACAGTTTTTTTAACTACTTCAAATTACTCTGTGACTACCTCCCTTCCCCTCCTCATATTAATAAAGACAAGAAAATTCTGGTGTCAAACAAGGTGTTGGAGGTAAGGGCTGTGAAAGCTCCTAACATCAAAAGCCAGTGCTGGCCAGGCATGGTAGCTCACGCCTGTAACCCCAGCACTTTGGGAGGCCAAGTGGGGAAGATCACTTGAGCCCAGGAGTTCAAGACCAGCCTGGCCAACATGGTGAAACCCTGTCTCTACAAAAATTACAAAAATTAGCCAGGCATGATGTCGTGCTCCTGTAGTCCCAGCTACTCGGGAGGCTGAGGCAGGAGGATGGCTTGACCCTGGAAGGTCAAGGCTGCAGTGAGCTGTGCTTGCACCACTGCATTCCAGCCTGGGCAACAAACCGAGACCCTGCCTAAAAAAATAAAATAAAATAAAAAAGCCAATTAGCCTGGCATGATGGCTCATGCTTCTAATCCCAGCACTTTGGGAGGCCAAGGTGGGTGGATCACAAGGTCAGGAGATCGAGAAGAGCCCCACCTCTACTAAAAATACAAAAAAATTAGCCAAGCATGGTGGTGGGTGCCTGTAGTCTCAGCTACTCCGGAGGCTGAGACAGGAGAATGGCGTGAACCCGGGAAGTGGAGCTTGCAGTGAGCCAAGATCGCACCACTGCACTCCAGCCTGGGCGACAGAGCGAGACTCTGTCTCAAAAAAAAAAAAAAAAGAAAAAGAAAAAGGCCAATAGTGGCATCTACCATTCTAGTGCAACGCCAAAGATGTCATTCCTCAACTCTTCATGTTACATCTCTCACCCACTAAGATTATAGAAAACACAGCCAATGTAGTCCCAGGGTTTGTAGTAGGGAAAAAAAAAAAAACAATGGTGGCAAAGCTTTACACTCTTGCCTTGCCCTTTTGATTTCCTCAGCTGTGATTCACACAGCTGCATGATGCTCCCTGCTCTCGAGGGAGGACCGCACAGGCAGGAGGGCCCATTCCACACACTGCTCGACAGACCCAGGGCTGTTGGGCCCCGAGAGCCATGGAAGAATAGGGCAGGCAGCCTCAACACACACTGGGACATTCTCTAAGGAGCAGTGGGGCTGGGATCATAGACATGCTTGTGAGCATATGTAAGGTGCCTCTCTGGGGACTTGCAGAAATAACAGAAAGGGGATGCTCTGCAGGAGGGGAGGAGAAGTACTCTATGGGCCTGGGAGACCAGGAGCCTAGGTTGTCAACATGGTTGTCAATAGGAAGGAGACTATCATGAATGCCTGTGTGGTTGCCTGCCCTACACAGCAGTGTCCTTGGAAAGACCCCTATACCCCACCTCAGTCCCTATGGTCTGAGTGTGGCCCATCCCATCCTCTAGCTAGAAAGTTTTTGCTGGAGGCCAGAGGGCTTCCATTCACCCAGGCCAGACGGCCTGGCAAATGAGGACTATGAGCTCCTGGATGGAAAGGAAAGGCCAGGTAGCGCAGGCAGCAACCCCAGGATTCCACAGGAGCAACTGAGGGGTGGCAATCTGGGTTTCCAGGCAGAAGAGATCCCGCCTAGGGTTGCCTCCACCTCATGGGTGGAAAGTGGGGTGTGAGAGTGCAGGAGTCCCCCTGCGAAAAAGCCCACACAGAGGCCAAAGGCATGAAGCAACCAATTCCTTGGCAGCCAACTGCATTTTTACTGGCCTGTGATGCATGTGACACACCCAATGCAGGTCACTCCATGAAGGACATGGATAAAAAGTCATCTGTGCCTAATCAAAACCATTATGAAACTAACCGTGCAAGAGCAGAAACTTCCTTAAGTGAGAGTCAACCTTTGATGGAGGGTTTCAGCAAACACAACCACTAACAACATCTTCTTGTTCAAGCAGGAACAAGACAAGACATTCGGGCCTGGCTGGCTGGGCCTCAGGTCTGTAATCCCAGCACTTTGGGAGGCCAAGGCGGGCAGATCACAAGGTAACAAATTCTAGACCAACCTGGCCAACATGGTGAAACTACATCTCTACTAAAATTACAAAAAGTAGCCAGGTGTGGTGGCTGGTGCCTGTAATCCCACCTACTTGGGAGTCCGAGGCAGGAGAATTGCTTGAACCCTGGAGGCGTAGGTTGCAGTGAGTCAAGATCATGCCACTGAACTCCAGCCTGGGCGACAGAGCCAGACTCCATCTCAAAACAAACAAACAAAAAAGACAAGACGTTCACCACCAACACTCTGTCTAACAAAGCTGAGGTTCAAACCAATGCTACAAAGAAAAGGAAGAGTACTAGAATGGAAGAGAAAAGGCTTACTATGTGTGGACGACTAGAACTTTTGAATGATGAAATAGAATATAAGCAGTGTGAAAAGTGACAGGCTGGGAGAAACTGTTTTCAACGCACGTAAAAACCAATGGATTAATAGCCAACATTTATCAACAGTTTCTATAAAACCAACAGGGGGCCGGGCATGGTGGCTCATGCTTATAATTCCAGCACTTTGGGAGGCCACAATGGATGGGTCACTTGAGGTCAGGAGTTTGAGATCAGCCTGGCCAACATGGTGAAACCCTGTCTCTACTAAAAATACAAAAATTAGCCAGGTGTGATGGTGCACGCCTGTAATCCCAGCTACTTGGGAGACTGAGACAGGAGAATTGTACCTGGGAGGTGGAGGCTGCAGTGAGCCGAGATGGCGCCACTGAATTCCAGCCTGGGCGATGAGTGAAACTCCGTCTCAAAAAAAAAAAAAAAAAAGAAACAAAATTATTTAAATAAAGCTGAAAATTTAAATTTGTAATTTGTTTTTTAAAAAAACTAATTACAGGTGTGTGTTGGAGTCAAAATGTGAAACTTGTGTTCAACATTTGCTGAGGTTATTTAAGTCTTTACCTTTGTAGAAATAAAGATTTCCAAAATAGTTACACAGGGCCAATTAGCTGGGCATGGTGACAGGAGCCTGCAATCCCAGCTACTTGGGAGGCTGAGGGAAGAGAATCTCTTGAACCCGGAAAGTAGAGGTTACAGTGAGCCGAGATCGCACCACCACTGCACTCCAGCCTGGGTGACAGAGCGAGACTCTGTCTCAAAAAAAAAAAAAAAAAAAAAAAAGGGAAGAAAAGATACTTCCCCCCTCAAAAAAGTAATTCCCAGAAGAGATGCAAATGGGTGATAAATATCTGAAAACGAGCACAATATCATCAGTCATTATGGAGATAAAGATTGAATCTTAATGAGATACAAAATTTTACACACAGGATCTCTCCTCTAGAAATATTCACACATGTGCACAAAGAGGTTCATACAAATTTATTCTTTGCAGCATCATCAGTAATGACGAAAACTAAAAATTGACCTGAATGTTGGACCAACTGTGTGCAGGAGTCAAAGTGACTAACATGCAGCCACTTAAAGCATGGGGTGGACCCACATATACTGCCAGGGAAAGGCTGATAAAACACATTGTTAGATTCAAAAAAAAAAAAAAAGGAGGCGGGGGTGCGGGCACAGTGGCTCACACCTGTAATCCTAGCACTTTGGGAGGCCAAGGGGGGCAGATCGCAAGGTAGGAGTTTGAGACCAGCCTGGCCAACATGATGAAACCCTGTCTCTACTAAAAATACAAAAATTAGCTGGTGTGGTGGCCTGTGCCTATAATCCCAGCTACTCGGGAGGCTGAGACACAAGAATCACTTGAACCCAGGAGGCGGAGGTTACAGTGAGGCAAGACCGTGCATCTGCACTCCAGCCTGGCGACAGAGCGAGACTCAGTCTCAAAGAAAAAAAAAAAAAAAACCAAGCCATGGAGCATTACACGTAGAATAAATCCATTTATGCTGTTTTAAAAATATGTAAACACAAGAATAATGGACCCTCTCCAAGGCTGTAAGAAATGCGCATTTTATTTTTGTTTTTTAAGTGTGCAATGGTATTGAGAAACCAACTATTAATATTTTATAAATGGATTTGTTGGGCTGGGCGTGGTAGCTCACACCTGTAATCCCAGCACTTTGGGAGGCCGAGGCGGGTGGATCACGAGGTCAGGAGATCAGACCATCCTGGCTAACACGGTGAAACCCCTTCTCTACTGAAAATACAAAAAAAATTAGCCGGGTGTGGTGGCGGGCGCCTGTAGTCCCAGCTACTCGGGAGGCTGAGGCAGGAGAATGGCATGAACCGGGGAGGCAGAGCTTCCAATGAGCCGAGATCTCGCCACTGCACTCCAGCCGGGGGCGAAGGAGCGAGACTCCGTATCAAAAAAAAAAAAAAAAGTTGGTGTGAATTCTGTAAATGTTTGGTAGAGTTCAGCAGCAAAGCATTTGGGCCTGAGCTTTTCTTTGTGGTTAGTTTTTTTTTTTAATTACTAATTTGATCTCTTTTCTTTTTGTAGTTCTATTCAGATTTTCTGTTTCTTCTTGAGTTAGTTTTTTAGTTTGTGTCTTTCTAGGAACTTGTCTTTGTTATCTAGCGTGTTGGCATAATCCTTTTTATTTCTCTAAGGTCAGTAATAATACCCCTGATTGGAGTCATTTCAGTCTTCACTCTTTTTATTTTCTTGGTCAGTCTAGTTAAAGGCTTGTCAATTTTGCCCATGTACAGACTCAGCAGAACTCAAGGTGTCAAGAGACACCTGATGCCATCTGAGTCCCACTCTCATGTGTAGTGGTGGTTCAGCAAGCGCTTATCCCTCCATGCATGCTCCAGAATCTCACTCTCTTCCCTTCCCCTCAATGACATTCAAATAGCATTGAAATTTCCTATTTTGGAAAACTTTATTTCTACAAAGGTAAAGGCTTAAATAACCTCAGCAAATGTTGAGCACAAGTTTCACATTTTGACTCCATCTAAAAAATTAAAACCAGCAGAATGATCAAACAATGACACATAATATCATTAGAAAATATATGTAGCATCGGCCAGGTGCGGTGGCTCACACCTGTAATCCCCAGCACTTTGGGAGGCTGAGGTGGGCGGATCATCTGAGGTCAGGAGTTCGAGACCAGCCTGGTCAACATGGTGAAACCCCATCTCTACTACAAATACAAAAATTAGCCAGGCATGGTGGCAGGCACCTGTAATCCCAGCTACTTGGGAGGCTGAGGCAAGAGAATTGCTTGAACCCAAGAGGCAGAGGTTGTAGTGAGCTGAGATCCATACCATTGCACTCCAGCCTGGGGGACAAGAGCGAGACTTTGTCTCGAAAAAAAAAAAAAATATGTAGCATCCTGGCCAGGTGCGGTGGCTCATGCTTGTATTCCCAACACTTTGGGAGGCCAAGGCAGGTGGATCACTTGAGGTCAGGAGTTCGAGACCAGCCTGGCCAACATGGTGAAACCCCGTCTCTACTAAAAATACAAAAATTAGCGGGGCGTGGTGGCATCTGCCTGTAGTCCCAGCTACTCTGGAGGCTGAGGCAGGAGAATCACTTGAACCTGGGAGGCAGAGGTTGCAGTGAGCTGAGATCACACCACTGCACTCCAGCCTGGGCAACAGAACAAGACTCTGTCTCAAAAAAAAAAAAAGAAAGAAAGAAAATATATGTAGCATCCATGATCAACTTACTTTGAAGTCATTTTCCCTCTGTTAACTAAGATTATTTAACCAGCCTCCAAAGTGGATGACCTAAGTACTAAAATGTTAGAACCTGAAACCCGGACAGTCTCATAATTTTCAGAAGGACAACAGGGTCCTTGTACCTGCCTTACTGCTATGGCTTCCTGAAGTCACTGCCTGGGCAAGGAAAGGACGTCTCATGTGCTGTGCACTTAAAGGATATGGGCCAGTGGCCGTTCATTTCTTCTCTGTAATAAAGAAGTGATAAGAGTTGGACTTAAGTCCTAATATCGGTGGTGGCCTGGACAAGGACAAGATAATAACATGAAAGAAGCAGCCTTCACAGCCACCTTTTCTTGAAACTCACATCTGTGCCCCTGCACACAGTGTGCAAGTGTACACACACACACACACCTGAACTAACCCCAAAATAGAGAGATGCAGAGAGAGATCTGAGCAGAACTAAAAGTTTGATGCACAGCTCCAGCTGCAGCATGACCTGGAATCAGGCTCATCCAAGTCATAACAGTTTGTTCCAGAAAAGAACAAGGTTTGACTGTAGGTATTCATGTTCTCTGCAGTCTTTCCCTCAGATCCCGAGCTCATTTTGTCCAATAATTTGTGCATCAATTTTGGTGGTAAGAACGCTGAGAAGCAGGATGGCACTACACATGCACTCTCGGGACAGCCATGATCCTGTAGGGAGGGAGGGAAAGACATAGAAGAGCAGTGAACATTATCTATACCATGTGGAGGACTGAGGCTTGCTCTACTAATTACAGATGAGGAATCTAGCAGGTTGACTCTCAGATTTAAACACTAAACAAAGGGTCAAAAACTTAAATACAAGAGTAACTGTGGCTGGATCAAGGTGACATCAGCCTTGCTAGGCTGATGACAGTGAGAAGCTCCTCCCTACCCATCAGAGATGAACAAATGAGTGAAGCAGGGTGCTATGGACTGAACTGTATCTCCCCCAAATTCATATGGTGAAGCCCTAACCCCAAATATCATTGTATCATTGGCAATGGGCCTTTGGGAGGGGTTAGGGTTAGATGAGGCCATGAGGGTAGGCTCCTCATGATGGGGTTGGTAGCCTTATAAGGAGGGAAAGAGGGCTGTCTCTCTCTCCTCCATGTGAGGACACAATGTGGTGGCTGGCTGCAAGCTAGGAAGGGGTCCTCACCAGATAGCAAATCAGCCAGCACCTTGATCTTGGATTCCCAGCTTCCGGAACTGTGAGAAATAAATTTCCATTTTTTAAGTCACCCAAACTGTGCTGTTTTGTTATAGAGACTCAAGAGAATTGATACAAGAAGCAATCACAGAGCTGGGTCTTAACTGAGCCCTAGGTGTCCGTTCCTACAGATTCACAGAGGAATGATTGGGAACATTGTCACTTTCACGGGACTACACCGTGTGTGTGTGTGTGTGTGTGTGTGTGTGTGTGTGTGTGTAAATATATATAATGGCTCTGACCTTAAAAAGGTCAGGACTCCAGCCTAAACAACATAAGAAGACTCCAGTTCTACAAAAAATTTAAAAATTAGCACAATGGTGCACAGCTGTAGTCCCAGCTCTTCAGGAGGCTGAGGCAGGAGGATCACTTGAGTCCGGGAGGTCGAGGCTGTGGTGAGCTATGATTGTGTCACTACACTCCAGCCTGGATGACAGAGTGAGACCCTGTCTCAAAAAAGAAAAAAAAAATAGAGGTTAGGACATGGCAAAGAAGGATGTCAATATAAAATAAGAGTATTACCCTACATTCAATTTTCTGTCATTGCAGACGCTGAGACACATATGATAATCACACAATCCAGCAAGAAATACTTGCAAACTTATAATTATCTTACTAATAAGACATGCTAACCTCACAAAAATTTCCCAGATGCATTTTTATAGCACATATATTTTCATAGCAGCATTTCCCAGTGGATAACACTATTGTATAATCAATCTTATTGATATTTTGGAAGATAAATGTAACATGGACCATGGGAGTCTACAAATTACTTTCTCGTTGGGAGCACATCAATCTAGTGAAGGAAAGAGTGTCCCAAGATGTCTGATTGTTTTAGACCAACAATTTTCAAATCAATTGGTGCAGAATTCCTCACTGCTTCAGGGAAATGGAGCACTGGGATGGGAGGTCAGGGGAAGGGCTCCACGCTCCTCCAGCACCGCCCCTCACCCACAGCTGAGCCACTTTTATCTAGTTCACATACTGTACATAAAAATCGTGGGGTTTATGTGTATCTTATATTGTATACAGTTTATGATTTCATGTTACATGTTTATATACTTCTATCTCTGCTAGAACTCATAAATTGACAAAAAATACTATTTATAATAGGATAAAAAACTAAAAGATTGGGGGTACACTGAAACTACTAAATATTATTGAGAGAAATCAAATAAAACAAAAATAAATGGAAGACCGGGAGTAGTGGCTCATGCCTGTAACCCTAACACTTTGGGAAGCCGAGGCACGCAGATCACTTGAGGCCAGGAGTTCGAGACCAGCCTGGCCAATATGGTGAAACCCAGTATCTACTAAAAATACAAAAAAAAATTAGCCAGGCATGGTGGTGCACACCTGTAATCCCAGCTACTCGGGAGGCTGAGGTGGGAGGATTGCTTGAACCCAAGAGGCAGAGGTTGCTGTGAGTCGAGATTGCACCACTGCACACTCCAGCCTGGATGACAGAGCAAGACTCCATCTCAAATAAATAAATAAATGGAGAGATACTGTATTAGTCAGGGTTCTCCAGAGAAACAGAATATACATATTCTAAAAACACATATATTCTGAGAAAGGGAGAGAGAGAGATTTATTATAAGGAATTTACTGGGCTGGGCATGGTGACTCTTACTTGTAATCTCAGCCCTTTGCCCACAAAAAAGAAAAAAAAAAAAAAAAGCTATAGTCCTGTGTGATTCTGGAGGCCGGCCAGCCAGTCTGAATATCTGCAGGGTGAGCCAGCAGTAAGGAGAGCTGGAGACTGAAGGCTTCAGGCTGAGGCGGGGAGGCTTAAGACCCAGGAAGAACCAGTGTTTCCGTTTGAGTCTGAAGGAAGGAAAATGCCAATGTCCCAGCTCGAAGGCAGGCAGGAGGAACCTTCTCTTACTCGAGGAGCCCTTTTGTGACTCTTTTTTCTCTTGGTGTTTCATTGTGGATGCTTTCTATTGCTATGTAGTTAACTTCACTACTACGTATTATTCTTCAGTGTCTAATCCCATTCAGTTAGGATGAATTCCTAATCCTATCAATTCTGCTTTTCATCTCAGACATTGTGGTTTTTACTTCTAGAAGTTCAACTTGAGTCTTTTTTATATTTTCTGTGTCACTACTTAACATGTTCAATCTTTCCTGTAGCTTCTTGAATGTATCAAATGCAGTTATAACTGTTTTAACGTTCTTGTTTGCTCATTCTATACCTACGTTATTTCTGGGTCAGTTTTGATGATTTTTCTCCTCATTGTGGATCTTATTTTCCTATTCCTTTGCATGCTAGGCAATTTTTTTTATTACCAATGTGATTGTCAGGTGCTAGACTTTTTTGTATTCCTAAAATAATCTTGAGTTTTGGACATAGTTCATTTCTTTTTTTTTTTTTTTTTTTTTTTTTTTTTTTTTTTTTTTTTTTGAGACGGAGTCTAGCTCTGTCGCCCAGGCTGGAGTGAAGTGGCGCAATTTTGGCTCACTGCAACCTCTGCCTCCTGGGTTCAAGTGATTCTCCTGCCTCAGCCGCCCGAATAGCTGGGATTACAGGCGCCCACCACCACGCCCAGCTAATTTTTGTATTTTTAGTAGCAACGTGGTTTCACTGTGTTGGCCAGGCTGGTCTTGAACTCCTGACCTCGTGATCCGCCCACCTCAGCCTCCCAAAGGGCTGGGATTACAGGCGTGAGCCACCGTGCCCAGCCATAGTACATTTCTTTAAAACAGTTTGATCCTTTTAGATCTTGCCTTTAAACTTTGCAAAGCAGGACCAGGTCAGCATTTAGTCTCTGGTCAATGTATCCTCATAACAAACTGGCTTTTCCCCATTTATCCAGCTGTCTTTGAATATTAAAAGTTGGACTTTTCAAGGGAAAAATTATCTTCACGACTGAGGCAAAACCCTTCTGGGTGTTCTGCCTGACTGCTGGGGGAGCAGGCTCTGTCTCAGGTCCCAGGTGAGCTCTGAGGAGTGGGCTTCGGATCATCCCAGGTGTCTCTTTCCCCAGCCTCAGGTGCTTTTTTCACACTCGTACTAATCTGTACTGAGCTGGATACTCAATGGGGACCTCTGGAGACCTCCAGAGTTCTTTCTTACTGTGCAGCTCTCTCCTCGCCAGCACTCTGCCCTGCAAAATCCAGCCATCCTGGCCTCCCAGATTCCCAGCTATGCCTCCCAAGTCAGGGAGGCTGTGGGCTTTTCCTGGGTTCTCCCTCCCATGCCACAACCTGGAAACTCCCTGCACGCGGCAAGCTGGGGCGGCTGCGGGACTCATCTCCCTTGTTTCCCATCTTCATTGCTTGATATCCATGGTTTTATATCTTCTGTGTGGATTTTTGGTTGCTTCGGGTAAGAGAATATATTTGGTCCCTGTTAAAGAAATGTCTATCCTTATCTGTGCAAGTACCCTATAGCAAAACAAGTGAAAATTATGAACAAGTATTTCATCATGGACTTTTTCATGATGTTGAAGCAACTGCCAATATGATGCAGGAGATTCAAACCACTACAAAGAGGAAAGACGAGGACACAAAAAATATTTCATAAGGAAATAGAGTATTTTTTTAATGACTAGCAGACCTTGGAAAAGAAGTGGAAGGAAAGAAAATCACAAAAATGAAAGAAAAACTGGAAGTAACACAAGGGAGACTAAGCATTGCCAAAAACCCAGGAAGAGCTGGAGAAGAGAGAATTAGAAAAGCAGGAAAAAGGAAATGGAAGCAAATAATTAAAAAAAAAAATCAGAGAGAAACTAACTGCTATGGATGAATGGCAATGGCGGCCCAATTTATGTATAAGATGAAAACAAAAATAATGAGACAAACTAAATATTTAAAAATATAACTCAAGAAAGTGTCCCAGAACTAGGAGAAGACATAAATCTACCATGTCCGAGAAAAAATTGACACAAAGCATTCAGCACTGAGGCATATTCCAAAAAGCCTGTATAGGCTGGGCACGGTAGCTCACGCCTGTAATCCCAGCACTTTGGGAGGCTATGGCAGATGGATCACCTGAGGTCAGGAGTTCAAGACCAGCCTGGCCAAAATGGCGAAACCCCATCTCTACTGAAAATACAACAATTAGCCAGGCGTGGTGGTGTGTGCCTGTAATCCCAGCTAATCAGGAGGCTGAGGCAGGAGAATAGCTTGAACCCTAGCTAGGAGGCGGAGGTTGCAGTGAGCCAAGATCGCACCATTGCACTCGAGCTGGGGCAACAAAGCAAGATTCTGTCTCAAAAAAAGAAAAGAAGAAGAAAACAAAAAGCCTGTGTACATCAAGGTAAAAAGTTCAAGTCACCCATAAGTAGAGGCAGCAGGGAGTGGATGAGGCTGACCCCAAGGCTCTGCCCATCAATGTTCAATGCTAGAAGACAGTGGAGCAATGTATAAATGTGCTCAAGGAAAGAACAAATAGCCTGAGAACTTTATATACAGCCAAGCTGTCATTCAAGAATTAAGCTAAAAGATTAAAAAGCCTCAACCTCCTGTTTTCCATAAGTTTGTCTTTAGAAACTACCAAAGAATGAATGTCAGCCAACCAAACATAACAGGAAAAACTACTGCAAAAAAGAAGCTAGTGGTGGTGGCTCACACCTGTAATCCTAGCACTTTGGGAGACTGAGGGCAGGAGGATCACTTGAGCCCAGGAGTTCAAGACCAGCCTGGGCAACATAGTGAGACCCCATCTCTACAAAATAATACAAAAATTAGCCAGGTGTGGTGGCACACACCAAGTAGTCCCAGCTACTTGGGAGGCTGAGGTGGGAGGATCAATTGAACCCAGGAGGTTGAAGCTGCAGTGAGCCATGATCAAGCCACTGCACTTCAGCCTGGGCAACATAGCAAGACCCTATGTCAAAAAAAAGCAGGGGTAGGCCAGGTGTGGTGGCTCATGCCTGTAATGCCAACACTTTGGGAGGCCGAGGCAGGTGGATCACAAGGTCAAGAGATCGAAACCATCCTGGCCAATATGGTGAAAACCCATCTCTACTAAAAATACAAAAATTAGCCAGGCATGGTGGTGTGCACCTGTAGTCCCAGCTACTCAGGAGGCTGAGGCAGGAGAATCACTTGAACCCAGGAGGCAGAGGTTGCAGTGAGCCAAGTTTGTGCCACTGCATTCCAGCTTGGCCACAGATCAAGACTCAGTCTCAAAAAAAAAAAAAAAGTGGGGCTGGCAAGAATAGTACTAACATTAAAACAAATATGATTACAGAATAATACAAATATTATAAATACTGGCAACTAAATATAATAATCAAAAATTGGAAAGGGAAGGGAGAGAAGTTGGCAGCTGACAGCTTTCACATGAGATCCCCCCGCCTGAGGTTAAGTCTTTTCTGGGGGCAGTGCACATGCAACGCTGGTCCATGCACGCGTCTGAGGGCCCAGTGCCCTCCCTGGATCCGCAGCACTCTAAAGGGCCTCCCCAGCTTCAGAGCACCTCAGGGACTGGCTGCAGCTTCTACTGTGACCATCTCACATCTCAACCCTCTTCTGGGGTACAGAGGCCCTGCCACTTGGGCCACACAACTCAGGAAAGCCTATGATATTAGAGGTATCTGCAGTGAGGAAAGACAGCAGGTGGAGCAGTGTCTTAAGGCAGGTCCCTCCAGGACCGCCAGGCCTTAAGCAATGCCCTGTTGGCTGGAGCAGACAATTACACCTTTCGAGAATGGCTCTTGGTGCACTACTGGCCCTGGGAGAGAGAGTGTGCATGATCATAGCCAACCAGGTGGCCGAGCAGCCAGGGCTGCCACGATGGCAGGCTCTGTCGGACCTACTAAGCCACAGGTCCAGTGAGCCCATCACCTCACCTTGCAGGGAGCAAGCCACTGGGAAGGGAAGGGGTGCCCGGGGTCAGGCACAATCCAGACCAGAACGGGCAGCGAGCCCACAAGCCAGCGCTCTGAACATCACGCCACCCCCATCATCACCTCAGTGTCCTCCCCCGGCGCACACCTGTGGCCACACTGGGAGGCAGCAAGTCTGGACCAGCTCATCCAGGAAGAGCAAGGCCCACATAGCTCCAGTGCTGGTCCCTGGCATGCACCACAGCCCCACCGAGGGCAGCCCCGCGAGGCGGCAGCCCCTGGCCCACACCCACCATCCCTGTGGCCTGAGGTTGGAACACACAGGGACTTGTGGAAGAGGCAGCAGGCTCGGCTGGCAGGGAGGGGCCTGAAGGAAAACAACGGGAAGCCAGAGACATGGAGGACAAAGGAAGGGGCCGCGGCGGCCCTGTGGGAGTGGCACAGAGCACCATGCCCACCACAGAAGAGACATCCAACACCCAGGCAAGCAGAGTGGCTCAGCAGTCGACATCAGCGCGTCTGTCATCAGCCACCTTGGGGCCGGCACGGCAGGCACATGCAGAGAGTGTCAACGGTAGAAGGAAAGGTGGAGGCCAAAGGGCCACAGGGCCATTCTTCCAACCACCGCTGTTCAGTGTGCCACCCACTTGTGACAGCAACCGACACAGGGCCCTGTACACCACCACGCCAGAGATGGTCAACCAGATCCCTGGGGCACAGAAGGTCTGCTGGAGCCCTTTCCCTGGGAAGGGTGGCTTCACCCTGCCTGGAACAGATATCCTCTCAGGATGGGTCAGCCCTTCCTGCCTCACACCCTGTTCCTAGGGGCAGCCAGGACCAGGACTGTCTGATGGACATAAAGGCCCAGCTCCCTAAATTCTGACGGTTCTGAAGGGCCGTCACTCTGTTGTGACTGCATCACAGCTCACATTCTCCCTCTGCCCAATCCTGATCTTTTTACTCCCAGGAGTGTTGCTCCCAGGAGGAATTCTCAACAACCTCCCTGCATGAAAAGCTCCACCTCACAGCCTGCGTCCTGGAGACCTACTTGCAACAGGGGGCCAGGCTAGAGACAGAAAGACCAGCCCAGGACAGTGTGTGTGGACACCTCTCCACACAACTCACTGTTGGTCCGGACCAGAAGGCTAGGCACAGTCTAGTGTTAGGTTCCCAAAAACAAAGCAGTTGATTCTGATCTCTGAGTTTCCATCAAGGGACCCAGGCAGCGGCTCACAGACCTGAAGGTGCATCCAGGGTCTGGGCCTCTGGATTAGAGAATCAGGATTCCAAGAGAGAACAAGAAGAAAGCTGTTAAACTGGCGAATACACTTAACAACAACAAGGACCCCATTTGCAGCCACAGGCTGTGATGCAACTTGCATTAAGTAAATAAAAATCATAAAATAAAATATGCCCTGTGTGAATTTTAAAACAACCAGAACAGAGGCTGGGCATGGTGGCTCATGCCTGTAATCCCAGCACTTTAGGAGGCTGAGGAGGGCAGATCACCTGAGGTCAGGAGTTTGAGACCAGCCTGGCTAACATGGTGAAACCCCATCTCTACTAAAAATACAAAAAATTAGCTGGGCATGGTGGTGCACGCCTGTAGTCCCAGCTACTGGGGAGACAGGAGAATCACTTGAACCCAGGCGACAGAGGTTCCAGTAAGCTGAGATCGCATCACTGCATTCCAGCCTGGGCGACAGAGCAAGACTTTGTCACAAAAATAAAAACACACACAGAACTGCTTGGCTTGAATATGACAGCAAGGATGAGAACATCAGTTTTCTGACTCGGAAAATGGGTTGTGTCTGGAGGAGAGCTTATTATTAAGCTGGATTAAACCACACTAAAATAATGTCTCTGCAGTCAGCTAGATGATCCCTATCAACGGCCTTCAGTGAGTTGATCCATAGTGACACAAAGCAAGGTGCTGTTCTTAAGGTGCTGTTCTTAAGGTGCTATTCGCAAGGTGCTATTCTTAATCCCCGCAAAACATGAAAATAGGCAAAGTCATACAAATCCTGAAATGATTGAAATATGGCTAATATGGCTCCCTAAGAAAACTGCCAACTCTGATAAGTCAAGGAGAAATAGAGATTTAGTTACTGTATCCCCCTTTCCATTCTGCTTTCTCTTTCTTTCCTTTTTTTTTTTTTTTTTTTATTTTGGATGGACTCTTGCTCTGTTGCCCAGGCTGGAGTGCAATGGCACAATCTCGGCTCACTGCAACCTCCATCTCACAGGTTCAAGCAATTCTTCTGCCTCAGCCTCCCGAATAGCTGGGATTACAGGCACCTGCCATTATGCCCGGCTGATTTTTGTATTTTTGTAGAGACAGGGTTTCACCATGTTGGCCAGGCTGGTCTTGAACTCCTGACCTCAGGTGATCTGCCCGCCTCTGCCTCCCAAAGTGCTGGGATTACAGGCATGAGCCACTGTGCCCAGCCTCTTTCCTCTTTTCTCGGAGGTCTCTTTTCCTGCCACAAAAGCCAGAAATTACCAAATAAAAACAAGCCCTTGAAATCATATAAGGCTATTTGCAGGGACTGACTCAAAAAGATGATTCTGATATCTGTCTTCCTAGAACTTTAATTTTTATAGATGCCATATTTATAAACTTCATATTAATCCTAATATCTCTATTCAATTTATCAAATGAATATAGCAAGATATCTAAGCAATTCAATATTTCAAATTTTCTTATAATTTTATCATAGTTCATTAAATGATCTTCGATATATTAAAACAAGATAAACCCTGTAGATATAAAGACTATAGTCAAATCCCTGTTGAGACATAACCAAATAAGGTGGCAAAAGTGATAAAATAATAATTTAGGGCCCTAGAGAAAATATGGGTTCTAATTCAATACTGGAAATACTAGAAATTCAATCAGAAAGCAAACAACAGCCCTCCTGGCATTTGGTTTTCTCAACCAATATTCTGATGTTAACCAACAGTTTTATGTCCCTGGTAACTCTGGTACATTCTCTGTTTGCTTATCTAAGATCAGTCTCTGTTTACAATGGGTTTCCTTTTTTTAAAACTGCCAGGGGCCAGGCACGGTGGCTCATGCCTGTAATCCCAGAACTTTGGGAGGCTGAGGCAGGCAGATCACTTGAGGTCAGGAGTTCTAGACCAGCCTGGACAACACAGTGAAACCCCGTCTCTACTAAAAATATAAAAATTAGCCAGGTGTGGTGGTACGTGCCTGTAATCCCAGCTACTCGGGAGACTGAGGCAGGAGAATCACTTGAAACCAGAAGGTGGAGGTTGCAGTGAGCCAAATGGTGCCACTGCACTCCAGCCTGGGCGGCAGAGCAAGCTTCCATCTCAGTCAATCAATCAATCAGTCAATCAATAAAAATAAAACTGCCAGGATCATTTGAGGAAACTCTATCCATAGTTTCTCTGAACATGGTTGCCACATATTGAAATGGCACATAGCATTTCATAAAAGGAAGTGTGGGCGTGCTCCCCTCGCAGGTTTCTGAACCCTCATCCCTGCCTCCCACAGCCAGGCTGGCTCCACCTCGCCGCATGTCTTCCGCCAACAGACTCAGAACTACAAGGGAAGGGAGTCGTACTCAAGGTAACCTACTTTTTTAAGAGCAACAGAGGAAGACAAAGGGCTTCAGAACTACCTAGGTTTCACTTATGTGTTCACAGCATGATATAAAAAATGAATCTTCAGGAGAATCAAAAGGAAAAGCACCTTCATGCTCTGAGGACATGCATTTGGTTTCTGATGAGTCTCTCTAGAAACCTGTGTTTTTATGCACACACTCCTCTCACCCAAGCTGGACTCCCTCCATGTACACAGCGCTGAATGCTATGGTCGGCTCTGATTTCTGTTGTGTCACATGAAAGGCAATTGCAATAAAACATGTATGCACATTTTTACGTTTATAAAGTGCCTGATACTAAACAAGTCTGGTATTTGCAAAATTTCAGCTTTTATTTAGCAAAACCAAAAGTAAAACAAACAAATGCCCTGTTTCTCTTAGGAACTGCCTACTGGCAAAAACAGCTCTGGTCAAACACAGGAATTTTTGCTCCCAGAAGGCCAAGATAACACATGTGCCTATAAATAGCAAAGAAGCTGTTCTGGAAAGTAATACATGAAAATGGGCTATGTCAAGCTTCTTTCTCTCTGAGTCTTGCATCAGCCCCAGTGAATTTCCTCAAATGGCTGCCTTGCTGAGCCTGCTTATTTTCAAGTCAGTCTGGTCACCTCCAGCTATTGCCTTCACTACCAGGTCAGAAGAAACAGATGGGCTTTTTGCAGGTACTACTTTATCCAGAGCACTGCCAAGTGACACCATTACTCACCCAGATTAGTACTGTTTTTCTCTGAATCATCAAGGCTGTTAACTGTAACAACAGAATAGAAAGCACTATGTTATTCAGGTGTTCTTTATTTAGCTTAAGTTTTAGGTGTCTCCACTACTTCCCAATTCAGCTGGATGGGAATTGACAACTTACTTGATGAGCTGGTATTTCAGAATTCAGTCAGCTCCAGTTTTAGCAATATTCCACTCCTTTCTTTGCATATTGCCAACCAGGAACGTCTGTCCTGGAAAAACCAAGGAGGCAGAGTAAGATGGTAGAACAGATGGCTCCACCAATCTTCCTTCCCCTGCAAGGACACCAGTTTAACAACCATCTACACACACAAAAAAAAAAAAAACCTTCATGAGAACCAAAAATCAGGTGGACACTCACAGTACCGGGTTGTAACTTCATATCACTGAAAGAGGCACTGAGGAGTTAGGAAAAACAGTCCTGAATCACCAATGCCACCCCTCCCCAACCCCTGGCAGTGGCTGCATGGTGCCCAGAGCATCTCTGTGCACTGGGGAGAGGGAGAGCATAGCAATCGTGAGGCCTAAAACTCAATGCTGCCCTGTTATAGCAGAAAAGAAAGCCAGACCAAACTCAGCTGATGCTCACCCAGGAAGGGAGCATTTAAATCAGCCCTGGCCAGAGTGGAGATGCCCATCCCAGCGATCTGAATCTGAGCTGCTACAAGCCTTGCCACCATAAGCTGAAGTGCTCTGGCACCCTACATCAACTAGAAAGGCACTCTAGGTCACAAGGACTGCAACTTCTAGGACAATCCTAGTGCTCAACTGTGCCCAGAGCCAGAGGATTGGGGGGGCACATGACATACTGAGACACCAGCCAGGGCAGCTAAGGGAGTGCTGGCATCACTCCTCCCTTAACCCCAGGCTGCACGGCTCATGGCTCCAAACAAGACCCCTTTCGTTTGCTTGAGGAGAGAAGACAGATGAGTGGGGTGGACTTTGTCTTGTATCTTGGATGTCGGCTCAGCCCTAGCAGGATAGGGCAATGGGCAGAGTCACAAGGCCCCCTTTCCAGGCCCTAGTGCCTAGATGATATTTCTAGACACACCCTGGGCCAAAAGGAAACCTGCTGCCTTGAAGGGAAGGACCCAGTCCTGGCGGATTCATTACCTGCTAACTGAAGAGCCCTTGAGCCCTGAATAACCAGCACCAACACCTAGGTACCACATCAGGGCCTTGGCTGAGACTCTGAGGCTCAGCACATTCCCAGCTGTGGTGGCTATGGGGCAAGACTCCTCCCACTTGAGGAAAGGAGAGGAAAAAGTAAAGGCGATTTTGTCTTGCACCTTAGGTACCAGCTAGGCCACAGGGGAGTAAAGCACCAAGTGGGCTGTTGGGTCCCTGATTCCAGGACTTGGCCAGAGGGGTGCCTGCTGCCCTGATGGGTGAGTCCTCGGCCAGATAGCATTCACCACAAGCTGAATGAAGAGCACTTGGGACTCAACGGAACATTGGCAATAGTCTGGCAGTACTCCCCATGGGTGGTCATGGGGTGAGGCTCTGCTGCCTTAGAAAGGGAAGGGAAGAGTGGGAAAGACTGCATCTTGTGGGTTCAGTGCCAGTTCAGCCACACTACAATAGAACACAAAGTAGACTTCTAAGGCTTTTTACTCTAGTTCCTGGCTCCCAGACAGCACCTTTAGACCTGTCCAGGGCCTAGGAGAACTTGCCAGCTTGAAAGGAAGGTCACAGGCCTGGCTGGCGTTGCTACCAGCTAATTGTAGAGTCCCAGGGCCTTGAGAAAGCATGGGTAGTAGCCAGGGAGTGGCTACAGCAGGCCTTGAGCAAGACCCAGTTCTGTGCTGGCTTCAGGTCTGACCCAGCACGGTCCTAGTGCTGGTGGCCACAGGGGTACTTGTGTCTCTCATCCCCAGGTCCATGTAGCTCAGAACCGAGAGAGAATTTTCATTTGTCTGGGAGAAAGTAAGGGAAAAGAACAACAGTCTGCCTGGTAATCCAGGGAATTCTTCCAGATCTTGTCCAAGACCATCAAGGCCATACCTCTACAAGTCTACAAGAACCACAGGGGCTTGGGATGACCCCTAATGCAGATACATCCTAGATAAAAACATTTAAGTCCTTTTGAATATCTGGAAAGCATTCCCAAGATGGACAGATTCAAACAAGCCCAGACTGAGAAAACTACAATAAATACCTAACTCTTGAATGCCCAGACACAAACAGACATCTACAAGTATCAAGACCATCCAGGAAAACATAACCTCCCCAAATGAATTGAATAAGTCACCAGGGATGAATCCTGGAGAAACAGAGATATGTGACCTTTCAGACAGAGAATTCAAAATAGCTGTCTTGAGAAAACTCGAAGAAATTCAAGATAACACAGAGAAGGAATTCAGAATTCTATCAGATAAAGAGATTGAAATAATTTAAAAGAATCAAGCAGAAATTCTGGAGCTGAAAAATGCAATTGGCATACTAAAGAATGCATCAGAGTCTTTTAAAAGCAAAACTGATCAAGCAAAAGAATTAGTGAGCTTGAAGACAGGCTATTTGAAAATACACAGAGAAGGCTGGGCATCGTGGCTCATGCCTATAATCCCAGCACTTTGGGAGGCTGAGGCAGGTGGATCAACTGAGGTCAGGAGTTCAAGACCAGCCTGGCCACCACGGTGAAACCCATCTCTACTAAAAATACAAAAATTAACTGGGTGTAGTGATGGGTGCCTGTAATCCCAGCTATTCAGGAGCCTGAGGCAGGAGAATTGCTTGAAACTGGGAAGCAAAGTTTGCAGTGAGCTGAGATCACACCACTGCACTCCAGCCTGGGCAACAGAGCGAGACTTCATCTCAAAAAAAAATAAAAAGAAAAAAAGAAAATACACAGAGGAGACCAAAAAGAAGAATTTTTTTTAAAAATGAAGCACACCTAAAGGATTTAGAAAATAACCTCAAAAGGTCAAATCTAAGACTTACTGGCCTTAAATAGGAGGTAGAGAAAAAAATAGGGGTAGAAAGTTTATTCAAAGGAATAAAAACAGAATTTCCCAAACCTAGAGAAAGACATAAATATCCAAGTACAAGAAAGTTAAAGAACACAAAGCAGATTTAACTGAAAGAAGACTACCTCAGGACATTTAATAAACAAACTCCCAAAGGTCAAGGATAAAGAAAGGATCCTAAAAGCAGGAGAAAAAAAAAAAAAACATACAATGGAGCTCCATTACGTCTGAGAGCAGACTTTTCAGTGGAAACCTTACAGGCCAGGAGAGAGTGGCATAGCATATTTAAAGTGCTGAAGGAAAAAAAACTTTTACCCTAGAATGGTATATCTGGTGAAAATATCCTTCAAACATGAAGGAATAATAAAGATTTTCCCAGACAGACAAAAGCTGAGAGATTTCATCAATGCCAGACCTGTCCTACAGGAAATGCTAAAGGGAGGACTTTGACCAGAAAAAATAAAGGACATTTTGAGCAATAAGAAATCATCTGAAGGTTCAAAACTTGCTGGTAATAATAAGTACTCAGAAAAACACAGAATATTATAATACTGTAACTGTGGTGTTTAAAGTACTCTGAAGTAGAATGACTAAATAATGAACAATTAAAAATAATAACCACAAGAAGAAAAATAATAATAATAACTACAACTTTTGAGACAGAGACAGTACAATAAAATATAAATAGAAACAACAAAAAGTTTAAAAGTGAGGAGATAAAGTTAAGGCATAGAGTCTTCATTAGTTTTCTTTTTGCTTGTTTGTTTCTTTATGCAAACAGTGTTATCAGTTTAAAATAATAAGTTATAAGATAGTATTTGTAAGCTTCGTAGTAACCTCAAATAAAAAAATTCAATGAATACACAAAAAATAAAAAGCAAGAAACTAAATCGTATCAACTGGGAAAATCATCTCCTCTAAAAGGAAGACAGAAAAGAAAGAAAGAGAAGACCACAAAACGACCAGAAAACAAATAACAAAATGGCAGGAGTAACTTCTTACATATCAGTAATAACATTGAAAGCAAAGGGACTAAACTCTTCAATCAAAAGATATAGAGTGAATGAATGGGTAAAAAAATAAAATAAATTTTAAAAAATGATCTGTTGCCTACAAGAAACACACTTTACCTGTAAAGACACACATAGACTGAAGGGATGGAAAAAGATAAAATTCCATGCCAAAGGAAACCAAAAAAGAACAGGAGTAGCTGTATTTATATCAGAAAAAAATAGATTTAAAGACAACTATAAGAAGAGACAAAGAAGGTCACTATATGATAAAGAGATCAATTCAACAAGAGGATATAACAATTTTAAATATATATGCACCCAACACTGGAACACCCACATATATAAAGCAAATATTATTAGAGCTAAAGGGTGTCATAGGCCCCAATACAATAATAACTAGAGACTTTAACACCCCACTTTTAGCACTGGACAAATGTTTCAGACCAAAAATCAACAAAGAAACATTGGACTTAATCTGCACTATAAACCAAATGGACCTAATAGATTAACAGATATTTACAGAACATTTCATCCAATGGCTGCAGAATACACATTCCTCTTTTTTTTTTTTTTTTTTTTTTTAGATGGAGTCTAACTCTATTGCCCAGGCTGGAATGTGGTGACATGATCTCGGTTCACTGCAACCTTCGCCTCCCAGGTTCAAGCAATTGTCGTTATTCCCAAGCAGCTGGAATTACAGAAGTGCACCACCATACCCGGCCAAATTTTGTATTTTTAGTAGAGACTAGGTTTCACCATGTTGCCCAGGCTGGTTTCAAACTCCTAAGCTCAGGTGTTCTGCCAGCCTTGGCCTCCCAAAGTGCTGGGATTACAGGCATGAGCCACCACACCTGGGCCAGAATATACATTGTTTTCTTCAGCACGTACATCATTCTCAAAAATAGACCATATGTTAGGTCACAAAACAAGTCTAAAAACATTCAAAAAAATGAAATAATATCAAGCATCTTCTCTGACCACAATGGAATAAAATTAGAAACTAATGACAAGAAGAATTTTGGAAACTATACAAATACATGGAAATTAAACAATACGCTCCTGAATGACCAGTAAGTCAATGAAGAAATTAACAAAGAAATTGAAAAATTTCTGGCAACAAATCATAACCAAAACACAGCATACCAAAATCTTAGTACTATAAAAGCAGGACTAACAGGAAAGTTGATAGCTATAAGCGCCTATATCAAAAAAGAAGAAAAACTTCAAAGAAACAATCAAATGATACATCCTAAAAAATTAGAAAAGCAAGAGCAAACTGAACCCAAAATTAGTAGAAGAAAAGAAATAATAAAAATCAGAGAATAAATAAATGAAATTGAAATGAAGAAAACAATACAAAGATCAATGAAACAAAAAGTTGGCTTTTTGGGAAGTTAAACAAAATTGGCAAACCTTTAGCCAGACTAAGAAAAAAAGAGAGAAGATCCAAATAAATAAAATCATAGTTGAAAAAGGATACATTAACAGCTGATACCACAGAAATTCAAAGGATCATTAGTAGCTACTATGAGCAACTATATCCCAATAAATTGGAAAATCTAGAAGAAATGGACAAATTCGTAGACACATACAACCTACCAAGACTGAACCACGAAGGAAACCACAATCTGAACAGACCAGTAACAAATAACAAGATCAAAGCCATAAAAAAAGTCTCCCACCAAAGAAAAGTCTGGCACTTTGGGAGGCTGAGGCAGGCAGATCACCTGAGATCAGGAGTTCAAGACCAGCCTGGTCAACATAGTGAAACCCCATCTCCACTAAAAATACAAAAATTAGCTGGGAGTGGTGGCACACACCTGCAGTCCCAGCTACTTAGGAGGCTAAAGCAGGAGAATTGCTTGAACCCAAGAGATGGAGGTTGCAGTGAGCTGAGATTGCACCACTGCACTCCAGCCTAGGTGACAGAGTGAGACTCTGTCTCAAAAAAAAAAAAACAAAAAAAAAAAAAAGAAAAGAAAAGAAAAAGAAAAGCCCAGAACCCAATGGCTTCACTGCTGAATTCTACCAAACATTTAAAGAACTAATACCAACCCTACTCAAACTATTCGGAAAAATAGAGGAGGAAGGAATCCTTCCAAACTCACTCTACAAGGCCAGTATTACCCTGATACCAAAACCAGATAAAGACACATAAAGAAAGAAAGAAAGAAAGAAAGAAAGAAAGAAAGAAAGAAAGAAAGAAAGAAAGAAAGAAAGAAAGGAAGAAAGAAAAAGAAAACTACAGGCCAATATCTCTGATGAATATTGACGCAAAAATCCTCAACAAAATACAAGCAAACTGAATTCAACAATACATTAGAAAGATCATTTATCATGACCAATGGGATTTATCTCTGGGATGCAAGGATGGTTCAACATACACAAATCAATCAATATGATACATCATATCAACAGACTGCAAAATGAAAACCATATGATTAAAAAAAAAAGAAAACTGGCCGGGCGTGGTGGCTCACGCCTGTAATCCCAGCACTTTGGGAGGCCAAGGCAGGCAGATCACAAGGTCAGGAGATCAAGACCTTCCTGGCTAACACGGTGAAACCCCGTCTCTACTAAAAATACAAAAAATTAGCCAGGCATGGTGGCGGGTGCCTGTAGTCCCAGCTACTCGGGAGGCTGAGGCAGGAGAATGGTATGAACCTGGGAGGTGGAGTTTGCAGTGAGCCGAGATCATGCCACTGCACTCCCGCCTGGGTGACAGAGCAAGACTCTGTCTCAAAAAAAAAAGAAAGAAAAAGAAAAAAAAAAAGAAAACCATATGATCATTTCAATTGATGAGAAACAGACCCACAGCTAGTATCGTATTGCATGGGGAAAAACTAAAAGCCTTTCCTCTAAGACCTGGAACATGACAAGGATGTCACTTTTACCATTGTTATTCAAGATAGTACTGGAAGTCCTAGCTAGAACAATCAGAAAAGAGAAAGAAATAAAGGGCATCCAAATCAGAAAGGAAAAAGTCAAATTATCTTTGTTTGCAGATGATATGATCTTATATTTGGAAAAACCTAAAGACTCCACAAAAAAACTATTAGAACTGATAAATTTAGTAAATTTGCAGGATACGAAATCAGTATACAAAATCAGTAGCATTTCTACCTGCCAACAGTGAACAATCTAAAAAAGAAATTTTAAAAGTAATCAACTTAAAATAGTCACAAATAAAATTAAATACCTAGGAATTAACCAAAGTAATAAAAGATCGCTATAATGAAAACTATAAAATGATGAAAGAAATTGAAGAGGATACCAAAAAAAATGAAAAAATATTCCATGTTCATGAATTGGAAGGATCAATATTGTTAAAATATCCATACTGCCCAAAGCAATCCACAGATTCAATGCAATCCCTATCAAAATACCAATGACATTCTTCAAAGAAATAGAAAAAAAGAACCCTACAGTTTATATGGAACCACAAAAGACTCAGAATAGCCAAGGCTATCCTAAGCAAAAAGAACAAAACTGGAGGAATCACATTACCTGACTTCAAATGATACTACAGAGCTATAATAACCAAAACAACATGGTACTAGCATAAAAACATTCACATAGGCCAACGGAATTGAATACAAAACCCAGAAACAAATTCACACATGTACAGTGAACTTATTTTTAACAAAGGAGCCAAGAACATACACTGAGGAAAAGACAGCTTCTTCAATAAATGGTGCTGGGAAAACAAGTATCCATATGCAGAAGAATGAAAGTAGACCTCTATCTCTCACCATATTTAAAAAAAAACAAATAAAAATGGATTCAAGACTTAAATCTAAAAACTCAAACTATGAAACTACTACAAGAAGACAGAAGAGAAACTCTCCAGGACTTTGGTCTGGGCAAAAATTTCTCCACAAGCACAGGCAACCAAAGCAAAAATGGAAAAATAGGATCACATCAAGTTAAAAAGCTTCTGCACAGCAAAGGAAACTATCAACAAAGTGAAGAGACAACCCCACAGTATGGGAGAAAATATTTGCAGACTGCCCATCTGACAGGAGATTAATAACCAGAATATATAAGGAGCTCAAACAACTCTATAGGAAAAAAATCTAATAATCCAATTTAAAATGGCCCAAATATTTGAAATAGCCATTTCTCAAAAGAAGACATACAAGTTCTGGCGCAGTGGCTCATGCCTGTAATCCCAACACTTTGGGAGGCCGAGGTGGGAGGATCACTTGAGCCCAGGAGTTCAAGGCCAGCCTGGGCAACATGGAGAAACCCTGTCTCTACAAAAAATACAAAAATTTGCCAGGCATGATGGCATGTGCCTATAGTCCCAGCTACTCAGGGAGCTGAGGTGGGAGGACTGCTTGAGCCTGAGAAGTGGAGATTGCAGTGAGCCAAGATTATGCTAGTGTACTCCAGCCTGGGTAACAGAGTGAGACTCTGTCTTTAAAAAAAAAAAAAAAAAAAAAAAAAAAAAAACCTACAAACAAATGGCAAACAGGCATATCAAAAGGTGCTCAACATCACTGATCATCAGAGAACAGAGACATGCAAATCAAAACCACAATGAGATATCATTTCACCCTATTTAAAATGGCTTTTATCCAAAAGACAGGCAATAACAAATACTGGTGAGTATGTGGAGAAAAGGGAACCTTCATACACTGTTGGTGGGAATGTAAATTAGTAAAACTACTATGGAGAACAGTTTGGAGGTCCCTCAAAAAGCTAAAGAGAGAGCTACCATATGATCCAGCAATCTCACTGCTGGGTATATACCCAAAAGAAAGGAAATCAGTATATCAAAGAGATTTCTGCACTCCCATGTTTGTTGCAGCACTGTTCACAATAGCCAAGATTTGGAAGCATCCTAAGTGTCCATCAACAAATGAATGGATAAAGAAAATGTGGTACATGTACACATGGAGTACTACTCAGCTGTAAAAAAAAGAAAAAAAATGAGATCCTGTCATTTGCAACAACATGAATGGAAATGGAGGTCATTATGCTATTGAAATAAGCCAGGCACTGAAAGACAAACATCTCATATTCTCACTTATTTGTGGGAATCTAAAAATCAAAACAATTGCCTGAGGTCAGGAGTCCGAGACTAGCCTGGCCAACATGGTGAAACCCCATCCCTACTAAAAATACAAAAATTAGTTGGGCATGGTGGTGTGCGCCTGTAATCCCAGCTACTGGGGAGGCTGAGGCAGAAGAATCGCTTGAACCCAGGAGGTGGAGGCTGCAGTGAGCTGAGATTGCACCACTGCACTCCAGCCTGGGCGACAGAGCAAGACTTTGTCTCAGAAAAAATAATAATAATAATAATAATCACATACTACTTGAAAATAAACAAAGGCAGTACATATTCAAGACAGTAGGAAATAGTTTAAAGTCATACTCAAAGGAAAACTTGTAACATTGATTTCATGAAAAACAAGAGTGAAAATAAATTAACTCATCTTCCACTACAAGAAAGTGGTAATAACAATGGTAGCTAACATGCATTGAGGGTTCGTATGTTCTCAGTGTTTCATGTGTATTACTTCATTTAATTCTCATGCCACACTACAATACAGGCATGATTATATTGTCATTTTACTGATGAGGGCACTGAGGCTCAGTGTCTACTAAACACACTGGTACAACAAACTGAGAGGAAGCTTCCACAGCCCATGCTGTTAACACTGAACTGTCTATGACTCAGATAAAAACAGCAAAAAAAGCCAGAGCAAGCAGAGAGCAGATACTACAGAAAAAAAACAGAAGTGAATGAAATGGAAAATATAATTTTCAAGAAATATAGAAAGAACAAAATATATTTGACAAGTAGTATAAATACTAAAGAAAACAATAACCTCAGAAGTTTAAGGTTAATCCCCAAATAGGTGATATGTTCTGAATGCTCTAAGGGAGAATTATACCAAAGCTTTAATGAGCCTATTATTATTATAAACTGTTCCACAGAGCAGAACATGTTGGGAAGCTTCTAAATTCATTATCTTACTACCACAAATCCTAGTATAACCCTGATAATCAAATTATACTGTAACAGAACAATTAAGAAAAGCTCAAAAATGCAAAAAAATCAATAAGTAAATGTCCCTATGAATAAAACTGCAAATATTTGTAAAAAGTAGCATACAAAAGCCATCAATATATTAAAATTATTATAGTACAACAGTAACACATGGAAAATTTATCATTACCACATTTAGCAATATAACTCGCCTTATTAATAAATATTACTTTCTAGGCTGAGCCCAGTGGCTCATGCCTATAATCCCAGCACTTTAGGAGGCTGAGGCAGGCAGATCACCAGAGGTCAGAAGTTCAAGACCAACTTAGCCAACATGGTGAAACCCCGTCTCTACTAAAAATACAAAAGTTAGTCGGGCGTGGTGGCGGGTGCTTGTAATCCCAGCTACTTGGGAGGCTGAGGCAGGAGAATCACTTGAACCCAAGACACAGAGGTTGCAGTGAACAGAGATCACACTACCACACTCCAGGCTGGGCAAAGTGAGACTGTCTCAAAAAAAAAAAAAAAAACTTTCTAAAACAAATGACCGTGAAAGTTAAAAGTTGATCAACAGGTTGGAAGTAACTTTGTTGTTAATACATATAACAGAAGAAAAATATTAAACTTCGAAAAATATACAAAAAGAGTTCATACATAAGATGAATACCTAAACACAAAAAAACAAACAAGGAGT
The DNA here is from genome assembly GCF_000001405.40 of Homo sapiens. Lineage (NCBI taxonomy): Eukaryota > Metazoa > Chordata > Mammalia > Primates > Hominidae > Homo > Homo sapiens. The sequence goes on along the minus strand of NW_025791782.1, from coordinate 25,410 downwards.
AAATAGCAAGGGAAATACAAAGGAATAAGCTTATTAGAAGATGACCAGGCAGGGCGTGGTGGCTCCTACCTGTAATCCCAGAATTTTGGAAGGCCATGGCAGGAGGATCACCTGAGCCCAGGAGTTTGAGACCAGACTGGGCAACATAGCAAGTCCCCATGTATAAAAAAAAGAAATGAGCCAGGCACAGGGGTGCATTCCCAGCTACCCGGGAGGCTGAGGTAGGAGGATGACTTGAGACCAGGAGTTCCAGGCTGCAGTGAGCTCTGATTATACCACTGCACTACAGCCTGGATAACAGATTGAGACTCTGTCTCAATCTGTATGCTTGAGGAAATGGATTATGTTGTCTACTCTTGGTTAGAACATAAATTGGTTCAGCCTTTGAAAAGAAAATCTGGCAGCTTTCTCTTAAATTTTTGAGTTTGCCATTTCTAGGGAATGATCCTACAGAAATACGCATTTATAAGAGTACGTACAAAAGCTGTTCACTGCAGAATTATTAAGAGAAAAAAGTAGATGTTCACCAATAGCAGTTTATTAACCTGATACACCCATAGCATGGAATGCTGTGAGCAATGAAAAAGAAAAAGGTAATTTATATGTATAAACATGGAAAGATCTCCAAGACAATGTAAAAAACAACAAAAATATGTGCAGGATATATAGTCAATATGGTACCACTTAAGTAAAAACAAACACACGAACTCCCAAACTCTTTTTCTAACCTTACATAAATATGTATGTAAATATATAGAAACCAATATGAAATAACAAAGGCAAAATTGTTAAAGGTGGTTATTTTGGGAGAGAAATGGAATTAACAAGGGAGAGGAGGTTGCTGTAGGAATAGGGGCTTGCATTTTAACATTTTCCTTAAAAATAAGCAAATATTATCTTAAATATATATATATATATATAAAATTTACATTAGCAAAATGAGAAAGTCCTAGAAATATGCAGACATTATAAAACACTATTGGCAAAATAAAGGCTCAAACCAAAAAAGTGACAGACCAATTTTTGGTTCAAATAATGGTTCTCAACCCAGGTGCCATAAAGTGAAGACTATGAATTTGATAGCATATTAAAATTAAGACATATGGCAAATGACTGGGGGAAATTATCCTCAATACATATGACAGATAGTAGCTAATTTCCTTAAGAAGGGATGGTCACAAAACAATGAAGGGGGACAAATGAACGACTGAAAAATGGGTGAACAGCCAGGCGTGGTGATGTGCACCTGTGGTCCCAACTACTCAAGAGGCCAATGCAGGAGGATTGCTTGAGCCCAGAAATTGGAGGCTTCGGTAACCTATGACTGTGCCACTGCACTTCAGCCTGGGTGGCACAGAGACCTTGTCTCTAAAAAAACGTTTTTAATTAAAAATTTAGGCCAGGTGAGGTGGCTCTTGCCTGTAATCCCAGCACTTTGGGAGGCCGAGGCGGGCGGATCACCTGAGGTCAGGAGTTCAAGGCCATCCTGACCAGCATGGAGAAACCCTGTCTCTACTAAAAATACAAAATTAGCCGGGTGTAGTGGTGCATGCCTGTAATCCCAGCTACTCCGGAAGCTGAGGCAGGAGAATTGCTTGACCCAGGACGCAGAGGTTGCAGTGAGCCGAGATCACGCCATTGCACTCCAGCCTGGGCAACAAGAGCAAAACTCTGTCTCAAAAAAAAAAAAAATTTAGAAATCGAAAAATGAGTGAAATATTTGAGAAGGCTGTGAACAGAGAAATGACAAAAAGTTATCAACTATGACCACCTTTATTGTTAGCAATGAAATTACAACCGGGTGGGCGCAATGGCTCATGCCTGTAATCCCAGAAGTTTGGGAGATCGAGGCGAGTGGATCACCTGAGGTCAAGAGTTCAAAACCAGCCTGGCCAACATGGCGAAACCCCATCTCTACTAAAAATACAAAAATTAGCCAGGCGTGGTGGCATGCGCCTGTAATCCCAGCTACTCGGGAAACTGAGGCAGGAGAATCGCTCGAACCCAGGAGGCAGAGGTTGCAGTGAGCTGAGATCGTGCCACTGCACTCCAGCCTGGGGAATAGAGCGCGACTCTGTCTCAAAAAAAAAAAAAAAAAAGCAAGAAAGGAAAAAAAAATAAAAGAAATTAAAACCAACATCCTTTTTACATATCAAGTTGACAAAGATGATACATTTTTATTATAAGTCCAGTGATCCTCAATATGTGAGAAAATAGACCCTTTTACATTATAGGCTGGGTGGAAAAAAAACAAAAACTTTTTCCTCTGCTCTCACAACACAGTAATCAACACAGAAGACTCTATGACCACACATGTGGGGATTTCTCTCCATCAAACAAGCATACAATCAATTCTGCTGTGGACACCATCTGGGTGTCCTCCAATTCAACTGGAACGCTATCTACCTGGACATAGCATCAGATCCCACAGGCCCACAGGACTGGCCTCCAATTCTAATGACAATGGCAAGCCCCAGTTTGTTTTATCTGTGCTTCTGACAGACTGGCTATAAATCAGGTTTCCACCACCCCCTCTTTGAATTCAATTAATCTGCCTAGAGCAGCTCACAGCACTCAGAAAAACACTTATATTTATCAGTTTATTATGAAGGATATTGCAAAAAGTACAGATAAAGAGATGCATAGGGCCAGGTATGGAGGGAGCCAAGCACTACCTTCCAGGAAGTTCTAACCAGAAGGTCTCTAAATCCAGTCCTTTTGGGGTTTTTATGAAGGCTTCATTACATAGGCATGATGGATTAAACTACAGGCTATTGGTGATCAACTCAAGCTTCAGCTTCTCTCCCCTCCATGGAAATTGGGTTTGGAGCTGAAAATCTCACCCCTCTAATGTTGCCTTCTTCTTTCCTATGAGCAGCCCCAACCTGGAGCTACCTAGGGGCCTCCAGCCACCAGTCAGCTCATTAGCATGCATCCAAAAAAAGACATCACTTTGAAGATTCCTAGGATTTAGGCCATGTTGCCCAGCCTGGTCTCAAACTTCTGGGCTGAAGAGATCCTCCCATCTCCAACTCTCAAAGTGCTGAAATTACAGGTGTGAGCCACCATGCCCCGCCACAGGACTGCTTTTTCATAAGTCATGGATATACTCCATGATTTTAATCCCATTAAGTCCAAGCATTTAAATGACCACTCCTCCTTTGAAAGTTACAATAAAATATTCAAAGTAATGAATGATAAAAACATTGTTACCAGTACTGGAAAATACAAGAGTCATGAGCTTTGAGACATTTCTCTTGCACTGTAGAGATGTGCATGGTTCTCAATCCCAAGGGAGCAGCACAAGGTGTAGTAATTACCAATCCCAGAGGACGACTCTAAATGCATCTATCCATTGCATCTTGGTATAGCATTCACCCAAGTGAACATAATGCAGACAAGCACTGGATGGAACAAGGCTTTACCTACCTGCAGAGAGAGGAGACAGTGGAAGTGGAATATTAGTTTCAGTGGTGTCCGTCAGTCCCCCATGGCTAGCAGCCAACCCTAACACCATTCCAGGACAGAGGGCAATTTGGCTGCTCATACCCCTCTCCTGCAGCAGCTCCAGAAGGACCCTGACTTCTGTCAGTATAGTGTGAAATACTGAACACTGGGGGTACACCTGGGAGTAGTTGATGCGCACTCTGAAGCTAAATAAAGGAACAATGAGTCTGAAACAGGGAAAGTGTCACTTGGAACGGAAGTATTCCGGGCTCCAGGTCCAGTCTTATGTAGCCCAGTGGGGTCAAAGACTGCACACACGAGACTTTTTCCCAGGCAGTTCAACGAAGTTCTGAATGCGTCAGACTTGTTTTGCACCACTAAAGAGTAAAATATGCTCAAATTTAAGCTGACATCTTACTTATACAAGTCATGTAAAGGAAGAAATGACATGGTTGAATGTTAGATTTGCTGGTTTAATGACAATTTCAGTGTTGTACAAAAGCCATGAATGTCCCTCATAAATGCCTATTGATGTAATGTAAAATTAATCATCTACTAATCAGCAAAGAATATTACCAACATTGGCCAGACACAGTGGCTCGCACCTGTAATCCCAGCACTTTGGGAGGCCAAGGGAGGTGGATCACTAGAGGTCAGGAGTTTGAGACCAGCCTGGCCAACATGGTGAAACCCCATCTCTACTAAAAATGCAAAACAATTAGCCAGGTATGGTGGCGGGTGCCTATAGTCCCAGCTACTTGGGAGGCTGAGGCAGGAGAATCACTTGAACCCGGGAGGCAGAGGTTGCAGTGAGCCGAGATTGTGCCACTGCACTTCAGCCTGGGCAACAGAGTGAGACTCTGTCTTTAAAAAAAAAAAAAAAAAAAAGGAATATTACCAACATCTGAACAAAATATTCATGATTCATCAGCAGCTGGACTTGAAACATAAGTAAAGTTCTTAAAATAGCTAGTGGGTCCATTGAAGGAAATGAGAATATCCTTCAAATTTAGAATAGAGTGAGAGTGGTATAATACGTCACCAAAATTTATTTCAGATGTAAATCATTTAGAAAAAGAGAAGATGAATTAAAGTCATAAGTTATCTCAGAAGGCTTGGAAAAAAGGAAGAATAGTAATGAAAGGAGAATGTAACATACGTATAAAACAAATGTTCTTTTCTTCACAAAGCAACAAAGAATGAAACAGTGTCAGAAATCCCTCCCCTCACCCTCCTTGTCTCTTAAAGTCCTTGGAATGAGACATCAAGTCTGGGAAAAGAAAGCTGTTGACCCTTAATGAGGCCACCAGGCAAACGAGGGTAGAAAAGATTAAGTTCTGATGTAAATATTTACGTAAAATCTGGTATTTGTCACACCTGAGCATTGCCAGTCTCAGTCTGATTAATAAAATTATTCAGAATCACCCTCCTCCAATCAATGCTCTCCCCACCTGACCCTGATTTCTCCAGATGACTCCAGAGTAGAATAATATTTAAACAAAAGACATCCCCACTTTTTCTTAAAGGTCTTTTGGCGAACACACGTGGTTCTTAAACTGCCATGCATCAGGGGCAGGGGCAAGGCTTCTTACAACACAGATCTGCAGATCTCCGGGTTTGAGGGTTACAAGGATGCTGCTGGTCTCAGGGCCACAATGTGAGAACCACACAGCTAGACGGTTTTCAGAGTTAAGTGCTATTGATTCATCATATATTTGGCCAACAAAAGTTCTAAGTTTTTAGACTGTCCCAAATGTTTCACATGAAAGCAAATCAGGAGAGCATCTTCCTATGCAGTGGAGCCTGGGAAAGCTGGGTGAGACTCAGGGAAAAATGCATAAAGCTCCACCCTTTCCGCTGTCAGGCCCTGCCCACGGCTACTTAAGCCCACCCTGGCCTGCTGGTGCTCAGATCCTTGCAGGGGACAGCAGTGGTTAGAGCGTGCTGCTGGTTCTGGGTGCACCCGGGAGCTCACCGCATCCTATGACCTGGGAGCGGATTCAGAGGACAGGACAGAACACTTGGGTAAGTGAATCTCTGTCTGTCTCATTTGTTTATTCCCACTTTCTTAAGGAGCACATACTTCTCACCACACACACACACTCACTCTACCCTTCATATTAGGGGTCAAAAAAGGAGTAAGGGACCCTGGGAGTGCAGGTTTCTAATCATGTCTGCATCTAAGAACAGTGGGGTCTCACCTGGCTCCTCCTGTGAGCAGTACCCCAGCCTGGCCTCAAGATCCATGCCAGCCTCACCCAGCTTCTCCTTCTCCCCTCTCAGAAACTCAGACCCAGGAGGGGGCTCCTCACCAGGACCCCGGGGTACTTTTCATCATCACCTAAGGCTTCACCACACTCACTTCCGTCTTTACCAAAATCCCACAATATCCCATTTCCCTTTCCTAACCATGAGGGACAATCACAGAAGCCACTGGGCTCTGCCCTTCCCTGGAGCTTCTTCAGAGTCACCATGTGCATCAGTAATATACCACGTGTTCTTACTGCCATTGCCCCACAGCTCACCCCCAGCCCTCAGGGACTCTCCTGTCTCTCCCAGCTACTCCCCAAACCACTGTGAATTTCTGACACAGTCAGCCCGTCACACCCAGGAATTACGTAGAAACTAACAGACCTCACTGGGATCCTCCCCTATGACTCCCACCCCTTCAGCTCCAGCCCTCAGGGACTCTCCCATGTCTCCTAGTTACTTTCTAATCATCCCCAGATGTCTCCAACTGACTGTTGCCCCCCAACACTCAAGAATCACCTACAGACGCAAATCTGAGTGCCCTCCTCCACGCTGTCTCTCATCTCTTCTCCTGCAGCCCTTTGGGACTCTCCAGTGCCTCCCAGCTCCTCTCCAGCCATCCCCATATTTCTCCTGGGGGCAGCCCCTAACACCCAGGAGACCCCTAGAAACTCACAGGCCTTCCTGGAATCCTCCCCCCTGTCTCCACTCCCAGCCCTCAGGGACTCTCCCATGTCTCCCAGCTCCTCTCCAACCATCCCCAGATTCCGAACCCCCCCACACCCAGGAATCACCTAAAAACCCACAGACCTCCCTGAGATCCTCCCCCATCTCTCTCACCTCTTCACCCCCATTCCTTAGGGACTCCTGTGTCTCCCAGCTCTGGTCCAACCATCTTCAGTTTTCTGCAGGAGCCAGCCCCAGGCACCTAGGAGACCCCTAGAAACTCACAGACCTCACCAGTTTATTCTCCCACAACCTCCGTCTACACTGCAGTGGCCCCCACATATTCCCCAGTGGCCCGCACCCATCTCCGTTCACACTCAGACACTCCCAGGGCCTCACAGCCACTCCCCATTATTGTCCTTCAGCTTATAGTGCTGGCCAATCTACTGGCCAGCATGATCCGCTTACCTGTCCATTTCCCCACATTCCTGGTCAGGGTCCCACATCCAGCCACAGAAGAGCCCCTCCTGCGTTCCACGCAGGCCTGTCCTTCTTGCTACTGTCACACACTTGCCAGCAGAAGAGGCCCCTCTAATGGCCGACATCACCACCCAGGTTATCATTACCCCTCAGCTGGGCATCTGGACCCTCCTGCCTGCCGATGTGGCTGCCAGCGCCCATGGCAGTGTGAACCCCAGTCTGTCTGCAGCCCTGCGGGTGACCCTCCTGTCTGTCAGTGACACTATTGGTGTGAGCCTCCATTTTCAGATCTCTGATTTGTAAATATGACCATGTTCCCTTCTCTCTGTTTCTTCCATTCACAGGACGTCTCATTCTCTTTGTTTCTGTCTCCATTTCAAACATTTACTCATTTTTTTCCCTTTTTCACTACATCTGCCCCAGTCTCAAAATGGATGCCCTAGATAAGATTCACCCATTTAAGGTGATGGATTGAATGGCTTTTAGTATATTCATAATTGCGCACAGCCGATTTTAATCAGTTTTATAACATTATATCACCCCTCCCCCAAGGAACCCTATAAACATTAGTCATTCCTCACACTGTCTCCAAGCCCCACCCCCAACAACAACCTCTGCCCTAGGTAACGGCTCCATAGAGAGCTCTCCCCTATCTCTATAGATTTGCCTATTCTGGGTATTTCCTATGAACAGAATAACACAATATGTGAGCCTGTGCAACTGTCTTTTTACTTAGCATAATGTTTTCAAGGTTCATCCACATTGTAGAATTACCCACAGTTTCATTCATTTTATGGCCAAGTGATACTCGATTGCATGAATATGCTCCTGGGGATGCTAATGAGTTGATGGGCATTAGGTTGTTTCTACTTTTTTGCTTTTGTGAATAATGCTGCTATGAACACTGCTGTACACTATTTGGTGTGGACATCTTTATACCCAGGAGTGGAACTCCTGGGTCATATGAAGACTTATGTGACAAAAACATGTTGAGGAACTCCCAGATTATTTTCCAACATGGCTGTAGCATTTGACAGTCCCACCAGCAATGCAGGAATGTTTCAGCTTCTTTGCATCCTCATCAGCATTTGTCATTATCTGCTTTTCCGTTCTGGCCATTCTGGTGAGTGTGAAGTGTCACCATTGTTGTTTTGACTTGCATTTCCCTAAGGACTGAGGATGCAGAGAATCATTTCATGTGTTTCTTGTCTATTTGTGTATCTTCTTTGGAGAAATATCTACTGCAATCCTTTGCCTATTTAAAAATTGGATTATTTTTCTTCTTTTTATTGAGTAGTGAGAATTCTTTTTGTAATCTAAATGCAAGTTCCCTATCAGGTATATGATTGCAAATATTTTATCCCATTTTGTGGTTGTCTTTTCACATTTGAATCACAAAAGGTTTTGCTTTTTATGAAGTACAATTATTGTATTTTCTTTTGTCGCTTGTGGTTTTGATGCCACATCTTAAAAGCCTTCATCTCACCTGCAGTGATATTTTCTTCTAAGATTTTATCTTTTTTTGTTTTATTATTTTTTATTTTTTAAGATTTTATCTTTATTTTTTTATTTTTCTTTTGAGACAGAGTTTCGCTCTGTTGCCCAGGCTGGAGTGCAATGGCACAATCTCGGCTCACTGCAGCCTCTGCCTCCAGGGTTTAAGCAGTTCTCCTGCCTCAGCCTTCTGAGTAGATGAGATTACAGGCACGTGCCACCACGCCCGGCTAATGTTTGTATTTTTTTTTAATAGAGACAGGATTTCACCATGTTGGCCAGGCCTGGTCTGGAACTCCTGACCTCAGGTAATCCGCCTGCCTCAGTCTCTCAAAGTGCTGGGGTTACAGGCGTGAGCCACTGCACCCGGCCAGATTTTATCTTTTTAGCTCTTAAATTTAGATCCATAGTCACCTTGGAGTTAATTTTTGTGTGTGGTCTGAGAAAGGTATCCAACATTATTCTTTTGTATGAGGGTATCCTATTGTGCCAGCACCATTTGATAAGAAGAGGATTCCTGGCCAGCCACGGTGGCTCATGCCTGTAATCCCAGCATTTTGGGAGGCCAAGGCGGGTGGATCACCTGAGAGGTCAGGAGTTTGAGATCAGCCTGGCCAACATGGTCAAACCCCGTCTCTACCAAAAATACAAAAATCAGCCAGGCATGGTGGTGCCCACCTGTAATCCCAGCTACTCGGGAGGCTGAGGCAGGAGAATCACTTGAACTCGGGAGGCAGAGGTTGTAGTGAGCTGAGATCACACCACTGCACTCCATCCTGGGCAAGAGAGTGAGACTGCATCTCAAAAAAAAAAAAAAAAAGGGTTCCTACCCACAATTAGTTTTCTCAGCACACTCTGAAAATCAATGGACTGCAAATGTAATGGCTTACTTCTGGGCTCTGTTTATTCCCTTCATCTATATCTCTATGTCTGTATCCCAGTACCATATGGTCATGATTATTGTTATCTTGCAGGATGCTTTAACATAGGGAAGAGTCTTCTAATTCTGTTTATTTCTTTGAAGATTGTTTTAGTTATTCTGGGTCCTTGGCATTTTCTGTATGAATTTTAGGATCAGCTTACCAATTTCTGCGAACTCGCCAACTAGGCTTTTGATGGGAAGTATGTGGAATTGACACAGGAATTATCTCAGTTACTTTGCCAGTCGGGACCTCTGGCCGGCGACACCCCCCCAACCCCGGACCTTGCTCAGCCCCGGGACTGCCACTGGTGGTGCCCCAGCCCACCTGTGTTACAGCTTGGTGGCTCCTGAGTTTTTGTCCTGTGTCCAAGAAGAATGAGGATACACTGACAGTTGAAGGGTAAGGATAGGCGGAGAATTTTATCGAGCAGTGGAATAGCTCTCAGTGGAGAGGCGATGCGGAAGGGTGGGTAAGGGGGTCCCCCACCTCCGCAGTCGGGTGGTTTTCTTCTCTCAGCGTGGCTGGGCCCTGGGCTTTTTATGAATTCAGAATGGGAAATGTTTGCTGATTGGTTTGTGAGTATGCGAAAAAGGTTAAAGCAAAGACACCACTCAAAGGTGGACATGACAGTGTAGAAAATCAATTAGGAAAGATTAGGTATACGTAAAATAGATGAAGGGTGGGGATCAATCAGAGGAGAAAGCATGACAAATGGGAAGACAGGTTCTCAATCCAGTCCGAAGATTTAACTTGTAGCTTGGCTTTCAAGCTTTAAACTGCCTTCAGCTTGGGGGTGGGGTTTCACCGGGGACTCGCCCCTATCTGCCTGGGCATTTGGCTGCCTCCTGTCACTATCAGAATGTGTAGAACACTTTGGGAATTATTACCATCCCAGCAATATGAAGTCTTTCCATCCACGAACGTTTTTTGTCTTTCCATTTATTTATGCCATCTATAATTTCAACAATATTTTGTAGTTTTCAAGGTATACGTTTTGTATTTTTTGGTCAGGCTTATTGCAAGTATTTTATTCTTTTTGATGCTATTGTAAATGGAATTGTTAAATTTCATTTTCAGACTGTTCATTGTTATTGTGTGGAAATTTAATTCATATTTGTATATTGATCTTGTATCCTGAAACCTTGCTGGACGCATTTCTTAGTTCTAATAGTTGTTTTAATGGTTTCCTTAAGATATTCTATATGTAGGATAATGTCTGCAGGGAATAGAGATTGTTTTTCTTCTTCCTTTCTAATCTAGATGCCTTTTATTGCCTAATTTCCCTGGCTAGAAACTCTGGTACAATCTTGAATAGAAGTAGCAAAAGTGGACATCTTTGTCTTTCTTATTCATGACGTGAAGGGGACATTCAGTATTTTGCCATTAAACATTGGTCTTTTGTAGGTTTTTTTTTGTGTGTGTGTAGCTGTTCTTTATCAGGTTAAGGAAGCTCCCCTCTGTTTACAGTTTTTTAAGCATTCGTATTATGAAGTGGGCTGTATTTTTTCAAATGCACTTTTCGTGTCGATTGAGATTGTCATGTGGTTTTTGTTTTTATTGATATTGATATTGATAATTGATATTTATGTTTCACATTTAGTTCTCCAAGAACTCTCCTTCAGGACTCATATTCCTAGTCATGATCTTTGCGTTTTTGCTCTGTTTTGAGATATTTCTTCTATTCGACATTCAAGTCCACACTATAGTTGAAATATGCCAAAATTTCCCTTTTTATCTCCTATTTCAAATGTTTAAATTTCAGAAACTGATTAAGTTTCTGCTTTTAGTACCACCAAGCGTCTTCCCCTTCCTCCCTTCCTTACTCCTCCCCCTTTCCTTCTTTTACTTTCTTCCCTCCTTCCCTTTCTTACTTCTTGTATGTTTCCTATGTTTCCATGTCAAATCCTTCAGAGTTCTCAGTACGATTTCACTGTTGTTATGTACCAGAGTCTCTCTCCCATGGTTCCCCGTCAATTGTAAACATCTACTGGTTTCTTTCAAGTCATTCAGTATCCTTTCATTAGTTACACCTTTTTTGCCTTATATAGCTACTCCTGGATTTTCGATGGTGTTATGTGCTGATCAACCCATCATAACTCAAAAATGCATTTAATATCCCAATGAACCAATTGTAAAGTTAGGGGAAAAAGATAATGGAAGAGCGATTAGACAAAAAAAGAAATCAAAAGTATTTAGATTGGAAAAGGAGAAAAACTATTTGCAAATAATAGGATCTTAGATATAGAAAAGCCTAAATAGTTTATGCAGAAAAGCTATTAGAGTTAATAAACTACTTCAGCAAAATTGCAGGATACAAGACCAATATACAAAAACCAGTTGTAGCAATAATCCAAAATTCAAATTAGGAGAACAGTTCCAGGTATGATAGCATCAAAAAGAGTAACATATGTAGGGATAAACTAAAATGGAAGTGCAAACTTATATGCTGAAAACCACAAAATATTGTTAAAAGAAACTAAAGAAGATATAAGTAAATGAAAAGTCATCTCATGTTCATGTGTTGGAAGATGTAATATTAAGATGGCAATACTCCCCAAAGCAATCTACAGCTTCATTGCAATCTCTACCAAAACTTCAACAGCCCTTTTTTTTTTTTTTGGCATAAATGGACAAGCTGATCCTAAAATTTATACAAAAATGCAAGGAACCCAGAATAGCCAAAACAGTCTTGAAAAATAAAACTGGGCCTGAACAGAACAAAAAGTGGAGGATGGGAGAACTTGTCCCTTCTACCTGATGTTTCAGCTGGGACATCAGTCTTCACCTGCCCTTGGACTAAGACTTACGTCGTCAGCTCTCCCAGTTCTCAGGTCTTTGAACTCAGACTTTCCTGCATCTCCAGCTTACAGACAGCACATGGTGATACTTCTCTACCTCCATAATCACGTGAGCCAGGTCCTCATAATAAATCTCTATCTATCAATTCATCTGTTGGTTCTGTTTCTCTGGAGAACCCTCTACAGTGACCTTGGACTAGGCAACAGTTTCTTAGATAAGATCCCAAAAATACAAGTCACCAAAAAAAAAAAAATAGAAAAATTGGGCTGCATCAGAATTAAAAACATTTTTTTGCATCAAAGGATAATATTAAGAAAGTAAAGAGACAATCCAAAGAATGGGAAAAATATTCACAAGCTATATATTTGATAAGATCCAGATAAGCTATATATTTGATAAGTATCCAGAATACATATAGAAAAACTCTTACAAGTCAACAAAAAATGGGCCAGGCATGGTGGCTCATGCCTGTAATCCCAGCACTTTGGGAGGCCATGGCGGGTGGATCACCTGAGGTCAGGAGTTTGAGACCAGACTGGACAATACAGCAAAACCCCGTCTCTACTAAAAATACAAAAATTAGCCAGGCGTGGTGGCACATGCCCGTAGCCCCAGCTACTCAGGAGGCTGAGGCAGGAGAATTGCTTGAACCCAGAAGCAGAGTTTGCAGGGAGCCGAGATCGTGCCACTGAACTCCAGCCTGGGCAATAGAGCAAGACTCCATCTCAAAAAAAAAAAAAAAAAAAGACAACCTAAATTTCAAAATGAACAAAACAGCTGGGCACAGTGGCTCACACCTGTAATCCCAGCACTTTGGGAGCCTGAGGCAAGTGGATCATTTGAGGTCAGGAGTTTGAGACCAGCCTGGCCAACATGGTGAAACCCTATCTCTACAAAAATTAGCCGGGTGTGGTAGCACGTGCCTGTAATCCCAGCTACTTGGGAGGCTGAGGCAGGAGAATCACTTGAACCCGGGAGGCGGAGGTTGCAGTGAGCCAACCGAGATCATACCACTGCACTCCAGTCTGGATGACAGAGCGAGACTCCATCTAAAAAAAAAAAAAAAAGGCCAGGCGCACGGTGGCTCACACCTATAATCCCAGCACTTTGGGAGGCCGAAGCGGGCAGATCACCTGAGGTCAGGAGTTCAAGACCAGCCTGACCAACATGGAGAAACCCCATCTCTACTAAAAAGACAAAATTAGCCAGGCATGGTGGCACATGCCTGTAATCCCAGCTACTTGGAGGCTAAGGCAGGAGAATCACTTGAACCCAGGAGGCGGAGGTTGCGGTGAGCCGACATCGTGCCATTGCACTCCAGCCTGGGTGACAAGACAGAAACTCCATCTCAAAAAATAAAATAAAAAGGCCAGGCATGGTGGCTCATGCCTGTGATCCCAGCACTTTGGGAGGCTGAGGCGGGTGGATCACTTGAGGTCAGGAGTTTGAGACCAGCCTGGCTAACATGGTGAAACCCTGTCTCTATTAAAATACAAAAATTGTCTAGGTGTGGTGGTGCACGCCTGTAACCCCAGCTACTCGGGAGGCTGAGGCAGGAGAATCACTTGAACCCGGGAGGCAGAGTTTGCAGTAAATCGAGATTGCACCACTGAGTGACAGAGCCTGAGTGACAGAGCGAGAGACTCCATCTTAAAAAATAAAAAATAAAATAAAAATTTAAAAAATCAAATGAGCAAAAGAGTTGGACAGGATTTCTCCAAAGATACACAAATAACCAGTAAGCACATGAAAAGATGTTCAGCAGCACTAGTAATTTAAAAAAAACTGTGAAACCCCGTCTCTACTAAAAATACAAAAAAAAAAATAGCTGGACATGGTGACAGGCACATGTAGTCCCAGCTACTCAGGAGGCTGAGGCAGGAGAATGGCACAAACCCAGGAGGTGGAGCTGGCAGTGAGCTGAGATCGTGCCACTGCACTCCACCCTGGGCAACAGAGCGAGACTCCATCTCAAAAAAAAAAAAAAAAAAAAAAAACACACACACAATGAAATACCACTTCACACCCACCAGGAAGGCTAGAATTTAAAAGATGAGCAATAACAAGTGTTGGTGAGGACAGGGAGAAATTGAAACTCTCATCCACTGCTGGTGAGGATGTGAAATGGTACAGCCACTTTGGAAAACATGCTAACAGTTCCTCAAATGGTGAAGCATAGCTTCTGTATGACTCAGCAATTCCACCCCTACCCAACAGAAATGAAAACGTCCACACAAAAACTTGTACACAAACGTGTATAGCAATATTATTTATAATAGCCAAAAGGTGCAAACAGCCCAAATGTTCATTATTCTGGAATGTTCTGGAATTAGTGGTAATGGTTACACAATCTTGTGGCTATAACAAAAAACACTGAATTGTACACTTTAAAATGGTGCATTTTATGGTATGTAGTTTATATTTCAGATAAAAAATAAATAGAAATGAAAAGCCCATGGAAATAGAGGCATGCCAGAACCTCACCTCCCAGCCATTCCTGTCCTCCGAGCTCAGCACCACCAAGGTTAGAACTGAGTGGGCCTCATAGAATGGCAGGGCCACATTCCAGCACTGGTCAACATGATTTCAAGTCTAGTGACCACCCTGGGCACACGAGTCATTCATGCTTAGAAGAGTAGGTCTGATGTGGATGTTGGTCACCCCCCTCTAATAAAGAGCCCACTGGGGCTGGGTGCAGTGGCTCACACCTGTAATCCCAACACTTTGGGAGGCCGAGGCAGGCAGATCACGTGAGGTTGGGAGTTCAAGACCAGCCTGACCAACATGGAGAAACCCTGTCTCTACTAAAACTACAAAATTAGCCAGGCGTGGTGATGCATGCCTATAAGCCCAGCTACTCAGGAGGCTGAGGCAGGAGAATTGCTTGAACCCGGGAGGCGGAGGTTGCAGTGAGCCAAAATCGCACCATTGCACTCCAGCCTGGGCAACAAGAGCCAAACTCTGTCTCAGAAAAAAATAAAAATAAAAATAAAAAAAGCCCACTGGGCAGCGTTTCATATGAAGTTAACTTAAAGGTGGACTGGCTTCCCCTATATGCTCTACCTCCACATGTCCAGGGTGCATCTGACACATCCAAAGAGGACCTGTCTAGCCCCTACATGGTTACCCTGGAGACTGAAAGGTCTATATTTCTGGTGGGCCGCACCAACCAGCAGGGCATGTGCCAATACCTGGGCCCCAGTAAGCACTTGATAAAGACTGACTGAAGCATGAATAAACTACACCATGAACAACACTTCCAGATTCCATCTACAGCTTGTATTAGGACAGAAAAGCAAGGCAATCATAAACCTACTCATAGCTCACGTGACCATGGAAAGGGCATGCATGGAGCTGGGCTTCAGAAACCACAGGAGCCAGCCCTGAGTCACAGCACCTTCCCCTCTGTCCAACCCCACGTCTGTCTCTGTGGGCCAGCTTGTCCTCTCAGACTGCTTTCACCCTCACTTGGGGAATTATGGCCCACAGCATCCCCTCTCTCCCATATCACACACATCTGCCCTCAGGGGCCACTAATCAATGTCCACCTCTCAGATGAAAGCAAAGAGGCCAACAGTGGGTGTCTCCCACACTGCTTTGCAAAATGTTTTTCAAATTATACAGAACTCATGAAAATTTCATTCCAGGCTACAACATAAATATTTAGAACCTGAGCTGACAAAAAATGTTCTGAGTCATCGTGGGGGATTATTTGTACCTTTACTGTTTGCCTAGAGAAAACAGTTCCAAAAAGCAGTACATCTGTTGACAAAAACATACTTCTCAGTGATGAAATTATTTTCAACACAAAGGCTGCTCGTAATGAAACTATTCCCATCTTTGGTTCTAGCAGGATCCACCCATAACATAGCTGATCCTTGACAAGTAGCTGACTTCTTCGTGGCCCAGGGAACACATCTTGAAACTCAGTGGTAACCAAATAGTTAGAGCCACCATTCAATGAGAAATATTCTCAAAAGAAAGTATTTCGGCCAGGCGCGGTGGCTCACACCTGTAAGCACTTTGGGAGGCTGAGGCAGGCAGAGCACCTGAGGTCAGGAGTTTGAGACCAGCCTGACTAACATGGAGAAACCCCGTCTCTACTAAAGATAGAAAATTAGCCAGGCATGGCTGGGCACAGTGTGGGCTTTTGTGTGTTCATATACATACAAAAGCTCTGAAGTTTGAAGTAGTTGAAACTCAGCTTGAGAATATGTTTCTTTACATCCTAAAGGAAAAAAAAAAGTGATTTCCAAGGTAGCATCTTGGAAAGCTCCCTACCTAGCCCTAGGGTAGATCACTAGGAGGTAGATATGCAGAGGCAGAGCCCAGCAGGGATTCAGCCTGGGTTTGGGTGAGCTGACTCAGGTTTCTCTAATGCTGGTGGGAGGGATGGCATTTGAACTCAGACCGTCTAACAGGCTTCCCCCCATCCCTCACAAGCCAGGCCAGAGGATGAGCCCTGGTGTGATGCCGTAATTCTTACTCATGTCTAAAAGAAGGTATGCATTTTATCACTGTGGCCTTTTAAATCAAGAATACAGTGCTTTATGTGTGGTAGACATCTGGCTATCTGTCGCTGGGTTCTAGGGTGTGGTTTCCATGGGCAGAAGGATGTTCCTAGTAAAACTGTGGCCAGTGTAGTTTTGTTGTTTCCATTATCCTCTCCCAGCCCATGGTTGGAAGAGAACCATGAGTTTTTTAAAATACTGATATCCTTGTGTTAAACTATGCTTCAACCCTCCTCCACTAGCACAAGTCTTCAGCAAAATTGGCCAAACCCAAAAAGCTGATATCACTTACAGGATATCAGCTTTCATTAGTGGAGTAAGGGATCAGAGTCCTGTCCAGTTGGGCGGGGAGGGAAAGGAGTGAGCAGCAGTCATAGGAGGCAAGATTCAGAACAGAGATCCAAGGTTTCAACAGATGCAGGATCCTGGAAACAAGAATGACCCTGTGAGTGGTCACTGCTCCGTGATTTGAAGGATAGATTAGGGGAAGTGTGCCATCCACAGTACACAGGCTACAGGATCAGTTGCTCTGTTCAATATTAAAACATGGAAGAACCCAAGTAGACTGCAGAATTAAGAGCTATCCAAGGAGCTTACACTTGGCTCACAGGATTTTCTTGTTGTTGTTGTTGTTGTTGTTGTTGTTGTTGTTGTTGTTAATTCTTTAAAATAAGAAATAGCTGGTGAAGTTAGGGGGAGGGAGAGTATAGGGATAGATTTGCTCATGGATATAAAATTACAGCTAGATAGGAGGCATGAGTTCCAGTGCTCTATATGACTGTAGGATGACTATATAATAACAATGATATATCATATAGGCCAGGCACAGTGGCTCACGCCTGTAATCCCAGCACTTTGGGAGGCCAAGGCAGGCAGATCACCTGAGGTCAGGAGTTGGAGACCAGCCTGGCCAACGTGGTGAAACCCCATCTCTACTAAAAATACAAAAATTAGCTGGGTGTGGTGGCAGGCGCCTGTAATCCCAGCTACTCTGGAGGCTGAGGCAGGAGAATCGCTTGAAGCTGAGAGGCGGAGATTGCAGTGAGCCAAGATCGCACCGTTGCACTCCAGCCTGAGGGACAAGAGCAAGACTTTGTCTAAAAAAAAAGAAAGAAAGAAAGGAGAGAGAGAGAGAGAGAGAGAAAAGAAAGGAAAGAAAATTAGCCAGGCGTGGTGGTACATGCCTATAATCCCAGCTACTCGGGAGGCTGAGGCAGGAGAATTGCTTGAACCAGGGAGGCGGAGGTTGCAGTGAGCCGAGATCACGCCATTGCACTCCAGCCTGGGCAATAAGAGTGAAACTCTGTCTCAGAAAAAAAAAAGAAATTATCTCAAAATTAGAGAAGAGTCATATTCAACCAAAAGTGCTAACAGAGGCCTTAGATAAATAACAACGTAATCTCAGAAAAATGTTTGTAGTGCTTGGAACACATTACAAGGCTTTCTACCTCACAAATTGACAAATATCTACTATGTATCTATTTGTATCTATCTGTCATATATCTATTGACCCTGGTCATTTAAAAATGTTTCAGGAGTGTATACTGAGTTAAAGCCCCTCCACAGTTCTGCCGCGCTGAGATGAGACCTGAGTAAGAGGCCGCGCTCTTCCGCTATACACTGGCGTTTCTACCTCACCCCACAGCTTGTTTCTACCCGCCCTGACCCTCACACCCAGGTGCTCTGCCAGCAGCAGGCAGGGTGGCTGGCGCTGGCGAGCATGGCACACACACCACGACAAGCACTTTGTGACTTCCATCTCATTATTTCCCTTTATCAATACAGCTTGAGGGAGAGAGAAATAAGCATGACCTGCAATTTTTAGTGGAAAAGGTAACATTTAAACTTGGCCTTAACAGATGGAAGGACACTTTTGGGATATAAAACCTACCTACTATGTTTTTCCCTGAAATAAATTTCATTCATTCTGCAAAAGGAAGCAGTCATGTGCCTGGAACAGGGATGAGGAGGAGGAGCTTCCCAGGCCTGGGGAAAGGGCAAGTGTGCCCGGAGATGAAGGTTAGAATCTGCGAGGTGGCATCAGGTGAAGGGCCCTGCAAACACAGCCTAGAAGACTCAGTGCTGCAGGTGCACACCCACAGATCATCTACAAGGTGCCCAACCTCAGCAAGGGGATGTGCCAGAGACATCATAAAGATTATTGTACACACAGCCCAGATGGGAACATCTAAAAGGAAACTGATTTTCGTGATGTGGCAAT
Source organism: Homo sapiens (assembly GCF_000001405.40). Lineage (NCBI taxonomy): Eukaryota > Metazoa > Chordata > Mammalia > Primates > Hominidae > Homo > Homo sapiens. Next base: position 6,619 of record NW_025791782.1, on the reverse strand, counting down.
GTTAAAATTTAAATATTTGTGGTGAAATTGCCCTCTATGCCCATCCCTGCCCACACACAAATATACCAAATACACAGGCTCTGAGAGTCAGAAGGTCTCAAGTCAAAAGTCTGGAGCTGGAGAACACCAGAGGAAGTTCCAGCAGAGGGCCATGAAAAGTGAGTGGGGAGAGTGTTAGGGAGACAAAACCAAAATAGCCAAGGACACCGTGGTGAGATCGTGCCTGCTCCTCTGTAAAGAGAATTTGAGTATATGCACCCCAAACATGGTCTACATTTCCTACTCCACGGTGCCCGCCAGACACACTTCCATTAAGCCTCCTCCCAAACCACTGTTTATTAGGCCCTTTGCTCCTCAAAGTGTGGTCTGCCAACCAGTGGCCATCATGGGAAGCCTGTAAGAAACAGAACCTCAGGTCCCACCATAGACCTACTGAATTAGCATCTGCACTTTAACAAACCCTCAGGAATGCCATTAAAATCTGAGAAGCACTGGTGTATACCAAAATGATGTCCTTTCAAAAGACAGACTGTACACTACATATGAATAAAACTATCATTCTGTGTGCCTCCCACAGGACCAGCAAGGTTCCATACACCATAAAGCATTCTATGCTTTTAGAATACACGGTGTAGGCCAGGCACAGTGGCTCATGCCTTATACCCAGCACTTTGGGAGGCCAAGAAAGGAGGATCACTTGAGCTCAGGAGTCCAAGACCAAACTGGGCAACATGGCAAGACCCCATCTCCACAAAAACTGCAAAACTTAGCTGGGCATAGTGGCTCATGCCAGTAATCCCAGCACTTTGGGAGGCCAAGAAAGGCAGATCACTTGAGCTCAGGAGTTCAAGACCAACCTGAGCAACATGGCAAGACCCCATCTCTACAAGAAATGCAAAAATTATCCGGGCACAGTGGCTCATGCCTGTTATCCCAGCACTTTAGGAGGCCAAGGCAGGTGATGATTTGAGCTCAGGAGTTCGAGACCAGCCTGGGCAACATGCCGAAACCCTGTCTCTACAAAAATTGCAAAAATTAGCTGGTCATGGTGGCCCATGCCAATATTCACAGCTATTCAGGAAGCTGAGGTGGGAGGATCACTTGAGCCCAGGTGACAGAGGTTGCAGTGAGTTGAGATACCACCACTGCACTCCAGCCTGAGTGACACAGCGAGACCCTGTCTCAGAACACACACACACACACCACACACGTAGATTAAATGACTGAGAAGTTAGCACCAAGAAATTGACTACTCCAGTTTCCATTTTGTCAAGACTAAACTATTCCCGAGAATGTGTGGGCTGTCCAGAGTCTAAGAGGTAAAGCTCAATATCACTGATCATTAGAGAAATGCAAATCAAAACCACAATGAGATACCATTTCACACCAGTCAGAATGGCTATTAGTAAAAAGCCAAAAAAACAACAGATGCTGGCGAGGTTGTGGAGAAAGGGTAATACTTATACACTGTTGGTGTGAGTGTGAATTAGTTCAACCATTGTAAAAAGCACTATGGCGATTCCTCAAAGAGGTAAAAGCAAAACTGCCATTTGACCCAGCAATCCCATTACTGGGTATATACCCAGAGGAATATAAAACATTCTACCATAAAGACGCATGCAAATGTTCATTGCAGCACTGTTCACAATAGCAAAGACATGGAATCAACCTAAATGTCCATCAATGACAGACTGGATAAAAGAAAATGTGGTACGTATATACCGTAGAATACTACGCAGCCATAAAAAAAGACAAGATCATGTCTTTTGCGGGAACATAAATGGAGCTGGAGGCTATCATTCTTAGCAAACTAACAGGAATAGAATACCAAATACCACATGTTCTCACTTATAAATTGGGGCTAAATAAGAACTTGTGAACACAAAGAAGGAAACAACAGACACCGGGGTCTAGAGGTGGGAGGAGGGAGAGGAGCAGAAAAGATAACTATTGGGTGCCAGGCTTAATACCTGGGTGATGAAATAATATGTACAACAAAACCCCGTAACATGTTTACCTATGTAACAAACCATCACATGTACCCCCAAACCTAAAAGTTAAAAAAAAAATTTTTTTTTTGAGACAGGGTCTTTGTCACCCAGTCTGGAGTCCAGTTGTGCGATCACAGCTCACTGCAGCCTCGTTGACCTCCTGGGTTCAAGTGATCCTCCCACCCCAGCTTCCCAAGTAGCTGAAACATGCCCAGCTATTTTTGTATTTTGTGTAAAGACAGGGTTTCACCATGTTGCCCAGGCTGGTCTCAAACTCCTGGGCTCAAGTGACCCACCCACCTCGGCCTCTCAAAGTTCTGGGATTGTACGGGGGTGAGCCACTGTGCCCAGCCAACAATATAACTCTTTTTTTTTTTTTTTTTTTTTTTTTTTTTGAGATGGAGTCTTGCTCTGTCGCCAGTGGCGTGATCTTGGCTCACTGCAACCTCCGCCTCCCAGACTCAAGCGATTCTCCTGTTTCAGCCTCCCAAGTAGCTGGGATTACAGGCACACGCCGCCATGCCCGGCTAATTTTTTGTATTTCAGTAGAGATGCGGTTGCACCATGTTGCCTAGACTGGTCTCAAACTCCTGAGCTCAGGCAATCCACCTGCCTTGGCCTCCCAAAGTGCTAGGATTACAGGCGTGAGCCACCGCGCCCGGCTTAACTCTTTTTTTTTTTTTCTTTTTTTTTTTCCGAGACGGAGTGCCACTCTCGCCCGGGCTGGAGTGCAGTGGCGCAATCTCGGCTCACCGAAAGCTCCGCCTCCCAGGTTCACGCCATTCTCCTGCTTCAGCCTCCTGAGTAGCTGAGACTACAGGCGCCCATCACTACGCCTGGCTAATTTTTTTGTATTTTTTTAGTAGAGACGGGGTTTCATCGTGTTAGCCAGGATGGTCTCGATCTCCTGACCTCGTGATCTGCCCGCCTCGGCCTCCCAAAGTGCTGAGATTACAGGCGTGAGCCACGGCGCCCGGCCCCGGCTTATCTCTTTAATGAATACAGTTACCAAACACCAGGATGAGGAGCAAACTCTTTATATTTAGGTATAGTTTATATTATCCTTAAAAGGCAAGCTATTAATAACACTTGTAGCGCTTTTCAACAACCTCAGAAATTTAGTCCTGGCTGGGCATGGTGGTTCACACCTGTAATCCCAGCTCTTTGGGAGACCGAGAAGAGAGGTTGACTTGAGCCCAGCAGTTCCAGACCAGCTTGGGCAACAAGGCAAAACTCCATCTCTATTAAAAATACACAAAATTAGCTGGGCGTGGTGGGGCACGCCTGTAGTCTCAGCTACTCAGGAGGCTGAGACACGAGAATTGCTCGAAACCAGGAGGGAGAGGTTACAGTGAGCTGAGATGGTGCCACTGCACTCTAGTCTTGAGTGACACAGCAATACTCCATCTTAAATAAATAAATAAATAAATAAATAAACAGCCTATCTCTAAGTTCCACCACATTGTACATGTGAGAAAAGAGGCTGTATATCTTCAGCATCTAACAGTGCCTGCCCAAAGGCAAGGATTAATAAGACAGAAGCCCTAGTCTCAAGATTTGCTGGAAGCACCACCCACTGATGCTTATTAAAAGTAGAAATCGACTTTCTTTCACAATTCATATGACTTCACTGTGATTACATTCACAAGTGACTAGTGGAAAAGATAAGCTTAAAATGTAATCTCCTTTTTCTAATTAATCATGTTACTTTACATAGGTTGCATATATGAAGAATTGAGTTTCCTATTATAATGTAGTTAAACCATGGACTTTTCAACCCAAGCTTTGTGAACCTGGCTTTCCATTACCAGTAAGTTACCTCTTTCCAATGGACCTCATCTTAATGGCCTGCTGCTGGTACCAAAGCAATTGTGCCCAACCTGAGATGCATCCATCAGGGCCCCTGCGGCAAGACGTGCAGGGGCGTCCTCTCAGCAGTGTGGGGGCATCAAGAATCACAAACATCCAGAAGCATATCTGTTCACCTTTGACCACGGGCAGAAATTAACTTAATTCAGAATGCACAAATGCCTTAATGGCATCCCATATGACCTCTTTTAAAAAACCAACCCATTCTTTACACAGAAGTACAGGCTTGATGCAAATGTATATATTATTATTATTATTATTATTATTATTATTAGAGACGGAGTCTCACTCTGTTGCCAAGCTGGAGTACAGTGGCATGATCTCGGCTCACTGCAACCTCAGCCTCCCGAGTAGCTGGGACTACAAGCACATGCCACCACGCCCAGCTAATTTTTGTATTTTTAGTAGAGATGGGATTTTACCATGTTGTCCAGGATGGTCTCAATCTCTATACCTTGTGATCCACCTGCCTCAGCCTCCCAAAGTGCTGGGATTACAGGCGTGAGCCACCATGCCCGGCCACAAATGCAAATCTTAACATAGACTAAGCATTCTTAGATTAATAACATTAAGAAATGCTACCATTTATTGATCAATCACTCTGCATCAGACCGTGATTAAACCTATTCATGTTATTTCATTAAATGACAACTCAGAGGCAAGCACAACCTTTACAGAATAAACTGAAGGTTACAGGGCTAACTGCCCACAGTCGCAGGGCAAAGGGCAAAATAGGTGTTTTCCCTAGGATTTGCAGTAGATTCCTCTGGACTGCTCTTCATTTATCAATAGTACTATCCAGTTCGGCTTAGAACATCATGCTAATGGCTTCATTTATCCATATTACTGTCCAGTACAGCTTAGAACATTGTGATAATTGCTTCATTTATCCATATTACTGTCCAGTTAAGCTTAGAACATTATGCTAATGGCTTCATTTCACAATATTACTATCCAGTTCGGTTTAGAATATCATGCCAATGGCTTCACTTATCCATATTACTATCCAGTTCCGCTTACAACATTATGCTAATGGGTAGTTACACTCTACCAGATAGGAGGTGCCAGATGAGGGACCGGCAGACTTGATCATCATCTCTGTAACCAGGAGTTGACAATAATGTACATATATTTACCTATGAACTCAATATTATCATCTACATACAAGTACCAAGTAAGCAGCCTTTTATAAGGACTTAACATGGGGAGGGTTTAATAACAAGCATGCCAACATGTTTGATAAACACAACTTAATAAAGTTCACATTTCATTAAAAATTACCTAGTTTTTAGCAATGAAGCTTTTTTTGTTTTTTTTGAGGCGGAGTCTTGCTCTGTCACCCAGGCTGGAATGCAGTGGCACGATCTCAGCTCACTGCAACCTCCGCCTCCCAAGTTCAAGCGATTCTCATGCCTCAGCCTCCCAAGTAGCTGGGACCACAGGCACGCACCTCCATGCCCGGCTAATTTTTGTATTTTTAGTAGAGACGGGATTTCACCATGTTGGCCAGACTGGTTTCGAACTCCTGACCTCAGGTGATCTGGCTGCCTCAGCCTTCCAAAGTGCTGGGGTTACAGGCGTGAGCCACTCTGCCGGGCCCACTTTATAATTTTAAAAGATCTTGCAGTTTTGTTACAGGTCTAAAGAAGAAGAAAAAAAAAGATCTAAGAGCCTAAGTTCAATGTATGCACTAAACAATAGTTTAACAAAAATAATTCAAGACAATACTAAGTCCACAAGAACTTTCCTTCTCAAAGGGATCCATATGTTACTAAAATTTAAAAACCGATGCAATTAATTTACTCTTCTTGTGAACTCAATTATTTTCACTTGAGTATTAGGATAACTGAAAACGTACCCAATACCCACTTTAAATTTGTCTGAATAATCATTGCAATTATCCAGATTTTTTTACATTATAGCAACAAAAAGGTAATTTATAATAATGGATGTAATCGGAACATTTGACCACCATTACTTAAGTGGCTAATGTGGCGTGATAAAGAATGAAACAATATATTTATCAATTATCAACTGTGGAAAAAATCTGTTCTTCAAGTTAAAGGCTGATAAACTACAAGGGCTATCAAATGTAATAAAGCATTAGCAAGTATCAAGTATCATGTTTATTAATTATAAATGGATGAAAGTCTTTAAATAAAAAACAGGACATTCAGTATTAAAACTAATTTTACTACATTTTAATATGAGGATGTCCTGTTAAAATCTCATTTCATGATGTGATTTTTCAGTATTACCCTGTAATCTATTATTAAAAGGAAAAAAAAAACTGAGCTGGGCAAGGTGACTCATGCCTGTAATCCCAGCACTTTGGGGGGCCAAGGCAGGAGGATTGCTTGAGGCCAGGAGTTTGACACCTGCCTGGACAACATAGCGAGACCGTCTCTACAAAAAAATTTTTAAAAATTAGCCGAGTGTGGTGGTGTGTGCCTGTGGTTTAGCTGCTCGGGAGGCTGAGGCAGGAGGACTGCTTGTTTAAAAAAAAAAAAAAAAAAAGCCTCCTTGTAATCCTTGAACAATATTTTTCTTTCATTACTCAACTACTGTACTGAACAAGCAATGCAAAGTATTCACTATGGATAAGATCAACAATTTGCTTTTCTATTGACCACAGGTTTCTTTTGACTATTGGTTTCTTAGTGCCAACTAAGAATAACAACTCTGCTTTGGTATAATCTTTTAACTGCCAAAATTTCTGGATAAAGTAGCTGCTCACTATTGACAATGACAAGATAGAA